>NC_000001.11:240426545-240578060 GCF_000001405.40 Homo sapiens
ACAGAATAGTACAGTGACCCTCCATTTTATCCATCACTCAACTTCAACAACTATCAATTTGTAGTCAATTTGGTTTCCTCTATAACCCTACCCGCTTGCCTCCTCCCATATTGTTTTTGAAGGAAATCCCCAACAGATATAATTTCATCCATATATATTTTAGTATGTTTCTCTAAAAGATACCCTTTTATTTTATTTATTTATTTTTAAGATGCAGTCTTGCTCTGTCACCCAGGATGGAGTACAATGGCATGATCTTGGCTCACTGCATCCTCCGCCTCCCGGGTTCAAGCAATTCTCCTCCTGCCTCAGCCTCCCAGGTAGCTGGGATTACAGGTGCGCACCACCATGCCCGGCTAATTTTTATATTTTTAGTAGAGATGGGGTTTCACTATCTTGGCCAGGCTGGTCTTGAACTCCTGACCTCTGGTGATCCACCCGCCTTGGCCTCCCGAAGTGCTTGGGATCGCAAGCGTGAGCTACCGTGCCAGGCCCAAGATACCCTTGTTAAAAGAAAGCATATTCACCACCAGTTTCACTCCTAAAAAATGATTAGGCCCTAATATCACCAAATACCAAGTCATTGTTCAAAAATTCAATTAGTTCATGTATGTTACAACTGATTTTATATATATATATATATATATGGTTTTTTTTTTGTTTTTGTTTTTGTTTTTTTGAGACAGAGTCTCGCCTGTCTCCCAGGCTGGAGTGCAGTAGTGCTATCTCGGCTCACTGCAAGCTCCGCCTCCTGGGTTCACGCCATTCTCCTGCCTCAGCCTCCTGAGTAGCTTGGACTACAGGCGCCCGCCACCGCGCCCAGCTAATTTTTTGTGTTTTTAGTAGAGACGGGGTTTCACCGTGTTAGCCAGGATGGTCTCCATCTCCTGACCTTGTGATCTGCCCGCCTCGGCCTCCCAAAGTGCTGGGATTACAGGCATGAGCCACCGCACCTGGCCACAACTGATTTTATTTTGGTTACAGTTTGTTTTGAGCAGGATATAGAGAAACGCCAACCATTATAAGTAGATGATATCTCTTACATTTTCACAATAGGTGCCCCTATGACACTTTTTTCTACTTAAAATTGATTCGTTGAAGAAATGAGATCATTTGTTCTATAGAGTTTCTCTACAGTATGGATTTTCCTGATTCTATCTCAGTGTTGTAGTTTCACACGATCCTCTGTCTTGTATTTCTTTTAGATAGGTAGTTAGCTCTAGATACTCGATCAGCTTCAGGTTTGAATATTTTGGCAAAATTACTTTATAGGTGGTATGGTGTGTTCTACCAAGAGGAAGCCTGACATATTCAGTTGTCCATTTTTGTGATGTCACCAGCCTTTGGGAATCAGTGTCTATATGTTTTAACTCCTTATAATTTGTAAAATGGTGACTTTTTATTTTGTTCTCAGTTATTCCGTGAAATACTTTTTCTTTAAAGAAAAACTTTTCCTTATTTGGCATAGAGTTATTCAATTGTGTGTTTCTTATACAGGAAATGCAGGATTCTTTCCTTTAGTTTACCAATTTTCAAAATAATGAGCGGTGTCGCTAGCACCTTCCACCAAAAATGAAGAAATCTTCTTTTTTCCTTAAGCGTTGTAATGAACTCATAGAATTAAACATATTTGATGTGTTTTACTCTTTTGCAATTATTATTGTTACTGATCTCCAAAACATTTCGCCTTTTTTTTTTTTTAAATACAGAGTTTCACTCTGTTGCCCAGGCTAGAGAGTACAATGGTAAGATCATGGCTTACTGCAACCTTAACCCCCTGGGCTCAAGCAATCCTCCCACCCCACCCTCCCAAGTAGCTGGGCAGGTGCACACCACCACACCTGGCAAATTTTGTATTTTGTGTAGAGATGAGGTCTTGCTATGTTGCTCAGGCTGGTCTCAAACTCCTGGCTTGAAGTGATCCTCTTGCCTTGGCATCCTTAAGTGTTGCAACTGCAGACATGAGCCACTGCACCTGGCTAAAATGTTCCATCTTTAAGTTCACCTTGAGTCCTTTTGACATGACCTTCTCTGCTATCTTCTTGGATATGACACTCCAGGTTCATTTTGAACAGTTTTTTTCCTCGAGACCTGGATTGAGCCATTTCTCCAGGCAGCTCTGGATCTTTAATACATTGTGGAATGGCTAAATTGAGCTAGTTAACATATGCATTACCTTACATACTTACCAGCTTTTGTAGTGAGAACACTTTAAATCTACTGTATTAATTTACAAGAATACAACATATTGTTAACTATTATTACTGTGTTGTATAATAGAGCTCTTGAACTTATCTTTCCTGTCAAACTAACATTTTGAATCATTTTTGTTATGATGTTTCTGTTCCATTGCCTTGATTGTCTTCAGTACAGGAGGCTTTTATAATACACATATAGGAATTTCTTGTCTTCCATACTTACAACTTTCTCTTAAATCTTTTTTTAAAATTTCTCTTTGATTTAAAAACTTTTCCTTATTTTATTTCTGTTTTCATTAAGACATTAGCTGTTGTACTTATTAACTCTTGTGTTACTTCTAATTCAGTTTTCATGTGTGAGATGATCATTTTAAATTTCAGATTCTTTACTAAGTTCTTGTACCTTATGTCTGAGTTTTTAAAATTTTGAGTTTTGTTTTCATAGCCTTTATCATTTTATTAATATCTTTTAGCCTGTTTTAAAACACTAGGCAACAGTCTTTATCTGTTCAGTAGACATGTCGTCTTCCTGGCATGTTTGTTTGATAGACATGTCTTTCTCTCATTGGTCTGCAGAGCCATTATTTTGCTCCTGTTTTCTTTCAATAAGTTTGTTTAGGAACCATTTGCAATCTCCTGTATTCCGTCTTTTCATCTCCTTATTGTTCTTTCTTTCCCACTTCTCTTTCTCTCTCTCTCTGTTTTTCTTCCTCCTTTCTTGGTTAGTTGAGGCGTAATTTGTAAACATTAAAAATGCACAAATCTTAAGTGTTCCTTTCAGTGGTTTCTTTTAAACCAAAATATTAAAACAGTTGTGTTTCCCAATGTATTTACTTCACACTTCTCTGAAGAGGTGATCATTGTTCTGATTAGTCAACATAGATTAATTTTGTGTATGCATGGACTTTTATAAGTGGAATCATATGGCGTGTATAATTTTGGCTCTGCTTTTGTCACTTATTTTTTTAGAGGAACTTCATATTGATATATCAGCAACTTCTTCCTTTTTATTGTTAAGTAGCATTTCATCATATTTATAGATCACAGTGTATCCATTCCCCTGTTCATGGACATTTGGGTTTCCAATTTGGGGTTATTATTAGCAGGGCTGCTGTGAACATTCCTTTTTTGTTTTTTTTTGTTTTTTTTTTGTTTTTTTTGAGGCAGAGTCTCGCTCTGCCGCCCAGGCTGGAGTGCAGTGGTGCGATCTCAGCTCACTGCAAGCTCTGCCTCCCGGGTCCACGCCATTCTCCTGCCTCAGCCTCCCAAGTAGCTGGGACTACAGGCGCCCACCACCGTGCCCTGCTAACGTTTTGTGTTTTTTAGTAGAGTTGGGATTCCACCATGTTAGTCAGGATGGTCTGGATCTCCTGACCTCATGATCCGCCCGCCTCGGCCTCCCAAAGTGCTGGGATTACAGGCGTGAGCCACTGCACCCGGCCTGAACATTCTTGTATGAGTCTGTTTGTATTCATGTTTCATTTCCCTTGGAATTAATAGGCGAGGGTAGGTTTTCTGAGTCATGTTATACATATATAAATTTATACATATATGTATAAATGTATAAGGAATTGTCAAACACTTCTCCAAAGTGGTTTGCCATTTTACACTCTCAAAAGCACTGTGTGAAAATTTTAATTGTTCTACATTCTCCCCAACATGTGAGACTTTATCAAGTCTTTTTGATTTAAGCCAACTCTTATGAGTATGAAATGGCATAATGGTATATTTAAATGAAAGGAATTTTTACTTTGCTAAAGTCTGATTTATCAACTTTTTTTCTCTTTTGATTAGTCCTTTTTGTGTCTTATGTAATAAATTTTGTTTGGCCCAAAGATGTAAAGACTTTTTTAATGTTTTCTTTTAGAAGCCTTATGTTTCTGTCTTCTACATCTAAATACTTATTTTTTTTTATTGGAGTAAGGATTTTTTTTCCAAACAGATACCCCATTGTTCTAGCACCATTTGATTAAAAAAAAAAAAAAAAAACTTTCCTACCCCCGCATTGAATTGGCTCGCCACCTTTTGTAAAAATTCAGATGACCTTGTATGTGCAAATCTCCTTCCAGGTCCTTATACCAATACCATACTCTATTAATGTAGCTTTATAATAACTCTTGAAATCAGACAATGTAAGTCCTTCACCTATGTTCTTTTTTTTAAAAATGTATTTCTTTTTTGCTATTTCATATGCTTTACATTTTTACATAAATTTTAGAATCAGCATATCAGTCCCTTTAAAAAAAAAAAAAACTCTTGATTGGGATTGCCTTGAATCCATAGAACAATTTGGGGCAAATGGATGTTAACATTACTGAATCTTTCAGCCCAAGAATATATTATACCTTTACAGTTATTTCAGCTTTCTTTAAATTCTCTCAACAATGTTTGTAGTTTTCACACTTTTATTTGATTTATTGTTAGATAGTTGATGTTTTATAATAGTAATACAAATTATATTGCTTTAAAACATGTCTTTCCCCAGTGGTCTTTTCCAGGGTGTATAAAAATACAATTGATTTTTAAATATCTACCTTGTATCTTATGGGATCAATATTAAGTTCACTTATTTAGTTCTGAGTAAATTCACTTATTGGTTCTAACAGGTTTTGTTATGTTTGTAAACTCCATAGTGTTTTCTGGGTATACAACCATGTTTTATATATATATATATATATATACATATATATACACACATATATATGTTTTATTTCTTCCTTTCCAATTTTTTCCTCTATTGACTGGCTAGAGATTTCAGTACAATGTTGAATAGAATTGGGAAGAGCAGACATCCTTGTTTTATTTCTGAACTAAAAAGAAAATATCAAATACCATTGCGTATGTTAACTGTAGGTTTTTCATAGATAGTATTTATCAAATTGTGTAAGTTTACTTCTAGGATTAGCCTGCAAAGAGTTTTTCCTTTTTGTAATAATAAACTGGTGTTGATTTTTTTCCATGTTTTTTATACTTACTAAAATTATATTTATTTTTCTTTATTCTATAAATGTGGCAAATTACACTGATTGCTTTCACTGTTAACACCAAATTGTATTATGGGGGTAAACCCTAATTTGTTATGTATTATCCACTTTAGAAATTGCTGCATTTGATTTGATGATGTTTTATTAAGGTTTTTTTTTTTGCTTATGCTCATGAGGGATATTTGTCTATACATTTATTTTTTTTCTTTCATAATATCTTTTTTAGTTTTCCATATCAACATCAGGGTAAAGCTGGCTTCATAAAATGAGTTGGGAAGTATACCCTCTTCTATTTTCTGGATGAGTTAGTGTAAGATTGGCTTTATTTCTTCATCAAATGTTTGTTAATTCACTTGTGAAACAAATAGGGTCAGAATTATTTGGAGTGTGGAGATAAATTTGATTACCAGTTTATAAAAAATAATTTTCTATTTATGGAAAATAATTGAATTGTCTTAGATTTAGGGGTACTTATATTTTCTGTTTCTTTTGTCAGTTTTAGAAAGTTCTGTTGTTTAAGTAATTTGCTTATTTCACTTAAGGTGTCAAATCTACAGGCATAAAATTGTTTACAACATCATCACATTATCATTTTAAGCCAGTATGATCTATAAAGATGACTGCTTTCATCCCTAGTATTGATATTTTGTATTTTCTCTCTTTTTTTCTTCATCAGTCTGGGTAGGGGTTTATCAATTTTATTAAGCTTTTCAATAAACCAACTTCTGACTGAGTTGATTTTCTGTAAGATTTAGTTTTTATTTCTTTGTTTTGTGTTCTTTTTTATTATTTCTATTCTTCTACTAAGTTGGGTTTAATTTGCTCCTTTACAGTTTCTTGAGTTTGATGTCTAAATAACTGATTTTACACATTTCTTTTTAATACATTCATTTTAAAGTTCAATTTCTCTCTAAGTACTTGCTTTATTTGTATCCCGTATATTTTGATATTTTTTGTTTTTATTTTTATTTAGTTTGGAATGTTTTTTCATTTCTTTTAGGATTTCTTTTTGATCCATGGGTTATTTATCACAGGTTTGCTTAATTGCCAAATTGGATGTTACCTAGATATTATTTTTGTTCCTTCATAATTTAATACCACTGTGCTCAGGGAACTTACTCTGTATAATTTCAGTTTGAAATTTACTGAGACTTGTTTTATGACTCAGCATATGGTCTATGTTGAATATTTCATGTTCTCGTGTATATTCTACCATTGGTCATAATGTTCTACAGATGCCAACTGGGTCAGTTTTTGATAATAATATTCAACTCTTCTGTGTCGTTAGTGATATTTTAATCTAGTTCTCTTGACTACTGAGAAAGAGGTGTTAAAATATCCAATTCGATGATGATTTTTCCTCTTTTTCCTTTTAGTCCTGCAATTTTTGCTTCATGAATTTTGAAACTGTTTCATTAGATGCGTATCTTTATGATTGTTATGTCTTCTTGATAATGTGGATGCTTTTATAATTATGAAATAACACCCTGGTTATGTTCTTTGTCTTGGAAGTCTACTCAGATAATAAAACCAGGCCAACTTTGCTATGGTTAGTGTTTTTACGTAGCTTTTTCCACTGCAGTATTTTCATCTTGCTTATTTTTATTTGGAATTAATTTTACTGAAATGTTAGGAGAAATAGATGCGCGAGGAAAACATTTCTAACTTTAGTGCTCTAGAGTTTCCTCTTTTGTTTCTTTTGCACAATGATAAGTGCATTTTACTTGCATTTTCTATTTTCTTTGTTCTTGAGTTTTTCCTGCACAATTTGAATTCCACTCTCAGCATTTTCTCTCAACGCAGAGCTTAGCCCTAAAAGGGAGTTTTCTCTTGGGTCAGTACTAAGAGTTCATACAGCTCAGACTGCTTCCAGTCCTTTCAGAAGTTACTATACATCCTTTCTTCTGTTCCATGCATTCAATTGTGTAAAACATCTTCCAGTTTCAGCACAGTTCTCAGGTTAGCCCTGACCCTTTTCAGGAATACCTTTTTGTAATTTGAGGGTTCTTCCTGCTTTTAGGAGAGATTTCCTGTTGCTTCCCTCTGCTTCCTCCTATACAGATGATGTTACCAGGTGGGTTTTATGTCGTGAGGAGTTTGTCCTTAGCTGTAATTTTGAGTTTCGTTGGGGACGTTAGATACCTAGGTCTTTGTAGGTCTGTTAGCTTTGATTTTTAATATTAGTTGCTCTTTCCATTTTTGTGTGGGATTCAGAGAAATTCCGAAATGGTCCTGCTTCTGTAGCTATCATTTTAGAGCTCTGCAGGTACCTCGATTCCATTGCAGAGAAGTATATTTGTACTGTCTAATGTTTGTAACAAAAGACGTGTGGTGTTGATCTTTTCAAAAAAGGACCATTTAAGAATCCAGACCACAGGGATGTTGATTGTTCAGTGACATCTGGAGTTATCTGTTATTATAATCATGCATTTTTTTAAATAACTGAACATCTTTTAACTACTACCTCTTCATGTGCCAGGGTCATTTCGAGGGAGTCTCACAGAAAAGCCTGTGTAGTAAGGAAGGTCCTAGGTAAGATGTCTGTCTTTTTGTAGTGAATCCTGTATTGGTATATGGTGGCTGGGATCCTCCAGATTTCAGATTTAAAAGAAGGAAATAATTCAGAAAAGATGGAATTTACCCCTCCCACCCACCACCCAAGTGGGTCTCTTTCGTGTTATGCAAGTTTGAATTCACTGAGGGCTACCTAATGCCGGACAGGATTACATAACCAAAAATGCCTCTGGCATAAAAGATACCTTGATAATCTGTAGAAATTATTGTCCTGTTATTTGCTTGTTTTTTTTTGTTTTGTTTTTTGTTTTTTGTTTTTTTTTGTTTTTTGTTTTTTTGAGATGGAGTCTCGCTCTGTCACCCAGGCTGGAGTGCAGTGACGCTATCTCAGCTCACTGCAAGCTCCGCCTCCCGGGTTCATGCCATTCTCCTGCCTCAGCCTCCCAAGTAACTGGGATTACAGGCACCCACAACCACACCCTGCTAATTTTTTTTTTTTTTTTTGTATTTTTAGTAGAGACGGGGTTTCACCATGTTAGCCAGGATGGTCTCGATCTCCTGACCTCGTGATCCGCTGCCTCAGCCTCCCAAAATGCTGGGATTACAGGCTGCTTGTTTTTTTTTTTAAAGTATTTACACTTTCTTTCAGGGAGTACTAGTGTACAGCTGAGACAGCACTCGTGATCCTCAGATAATTCTTCTGGACACTCTACGTCACATACTCAAGTACACTTATTCTTTCACCATGGCCACATCCAAAGAAATAGCTACCAGCGAAAGTTTCTTTTTATTGTGACTCATGCCAATAATAAGGTTCACATTTGACTTTAAATCAATTGTTGGATACTCATTTGGCTCACAGGTTCATAAAGTTTTATGCAAAGAACATTTTTATTGAAAAATTTTTGCCTCTTATAAAGTGAATACATATATTACTACTTCAGTTTATAACTTGCAAGGTACTTTTATTTAATCTTCATGACAACCTTGAAAAGCAACCACTTACAGATGAAAAAAACTGAGGCTCAGAAGTTAAATTAACTGCCTAAATCTATGTGCTTTATATAACAGAGCCAAGAAGAAATTATTGAATAATCAGAATAATTATCACTAGTATCAGAAGCTTTTGTGCCTACTGGTAACTAAAAAAAAAAAAATCTTCAGAGAACATGATCACATGAGAATCTGTTAATAAATCAGCCCCAATTGAATTAGTTATAATTTAGAGAATACTTTTAGGAAATATATATTTATATTTATTTAATATGCAATATAAAATATATAGCATATGTAATATAACATATGTAATATAAAATACATTTGTTTTGTGTTGACACATTCAACAGACACTTTGGCAATTCATTTTTACCCATTGGACTTCAGAACAACTGTTGATGATAATCTCTGTTTTACAGTAGAAAAGCTGAGGCACAATGATGTTAAATGGTTTGCTCATATAGCTGGTCATAGAGGCAGGATTCAATATTCCATGTCTTCTCATTCTAAATCTTACATTCTTTGCTTTTGATACCATACTACCTCGTGATAAAACTTTCAAAATGTTGCAAGATAACTGACTGGGTGAACTAGCTATTGCGACTTACATATGGCTACCCAAACAGGTGGGCTTGCTCTGAAATAATCAGTTTTATGAAGTTCAAAGACCAGAGCAATGATGAAAATGAATAAATGGATAGAAAAGACTTGAGACCTAACTTCAGCCTAACAGGTCATACATTCTTTTTAGGTATATAAGGAAAATGACCAGTTTTCCGAGAAGGCATGTATGTGTTTATGTTATCAGTTTTAATAAAATATGACCCAGATATGTCTTAGACTCTGTGTGTTCTCTGCCATCTACTCTCCGGGCAGTTCTGATGCCATCAACACATTCCGCCAGGTGCATTCTAACGTCATTACCATAGCCCGTGGCAGCCAGATCCTCACATAGCGTATGCACTTCACAGCCTGACTCTTTCTCAGGTTTAATTGACTGTACTCTGTCATTTTTCTAGTAGGCTAACTAAGGAGAAAAACATAATACCTGAGATCCACACATTTGATTAAATCAGTCTTGTCGTCTCTGCCTAGAGCTTAAAAAGCTGATATCCTGGGAATCTTGCTGCTCAGAGACAGCCATAGGCAAGTTTAAACACAGAGCAGATTAGTCATACATTGGTAACCCACAGTCAAGAGTAGCTGTGAATGTTTGTTTTTACGTGTGAATGCTCTGACTCTTTTATCTCCTGAGCAAACTCACCTTAAAGATCTCAGTATTTTAAAAAATTAGCCGGGCATGGTGGCAGGCACCTGTAATCCCAGCTATTTGGGAGGCTGAGGCAGGAGAATCGCTTGTACCCGGGAAGTGGAGGTTGCAGTGAGCTGAGACCATGCTGTTGCACTCTAGCCTGGGTGACAGTGTGAGACTCCGTCTCAAAAAAAAAAAAAACTCAATATTTTAATGCTCAAACTGTTTTTCATAATAGACATTTCAAATCAGCTATGGCAAGCTGAATACACACAGAGATATGTGTAAGTGTATATGTTAGGGTATGTATGTTTATATATGTATATATATACTTTTGTCACTGAGCAAAATCAAGTTGCCTTTGATATTTCTACTTCAGAGTAGATCAAACTTGAGTTTTTGTGGAGCAGAAATAGTGCTGGCCCCAGGCCAGAGAAAGAAAGAAAAGACAAGCTTATTTGCATGCCACTCCTTTGCAGCATCTCTGACCTTTCTCTAACCAGTTCTCTTGCCACGCGTTATCGACTGTATTGGTCAGGATTCTTCTCAGGGCATCACTCATGGGACTGGAAGACTTTTGTGAAGTCAGAAACCTACCATTTACTAGTGGTATGTTCTTTGTCAAATAACCACTTTGAAACTCTTCTGAGCTCCATATAGCTGTAATATGAAGCAGCCTCTGAGTGGCACCTTCTGAAAACTGGCCCTGAGCAATCTACCGTCAAAGTCCTGGCTGCCATATTGGTCTCTACTCAATGATAGCACTGTAGTCTCTGATAGGAGACTTTGTCAGCATCTCTTGCTTTTTTTTTTTTTTTTTTTGAGACGGAGTCTGGCTCTGTTGCCCCGGCTGGAGTGCAGTGGTGCAATCTCGGCTCACTGCAAGCTGTGCCTCCTGGGTTCATGCCATTCTCCTGCCTCTCAGCCTCCCAAGTAGCTGGGACTACAGGTGCCCACCACCATGCCCGGCTAATTTTTTTTTCTTTGTAATTTTAGTAGAGACAGGGTTTCACCGTGTTAGCCAGGATGGTCTCGATCTCCTGACCTCGTGATCCACCCACCTTGGCCTCCCAAAGTGCTGGGATTACAGGCGTGAGCCACCGCGCCGGGCTGGGACTCTTGCTTTTATTCCTTCTAACAATGTAGGAAGGCAAATAGTGTATAAGCAATATAATATAGATATGGACTACATACTAGTTTGGGGACACATGGTTAATATTTCATTTGTTTAGGGTTTAGAAAGAAAGTATAGGCCCGCCACTTTCAATATGTCTCATCTTGATGACAAGTTCATTTCTGGAGTATGTCCAACACAGAGTGATTAATTTTGAAATAGAATTGGTCAAGGGGTAGTTATTAGTATGTGGAGGATTCTCGTCAGTTGCTGCTGTCTGTATCCAAAACTCTTAACCTTAAACCATAAGAGAGCTACTGTTGGTGCTTGAAGAGCTTGAGTCCTCTTGGTAATAATAATTGTGCATGAATAAAATCAGCATTTGGATAGAGAAAGAATATCCCATATTGGAAAGTAATCATGGCTTTTATGCTTTTGTGTGTGTATGATTTGACAGCTTTTTGGAGACCACGGCATATTTCTTCATGAAACCAAAACTTGGAGAGAAGGAGGTGTCCCCAAATGCTTTCTTCAGTATCTGGCATGAATTCAGCTCTGACTTTAAAGACTTCTGGAAGAAAGAGAACAAACTTCTTCTACAAGAGAGGTAGGTATTTTCATTTGCACAATGGCATTTTAAAACTGGTGTTTTATTAGGTGTGGCACCACTGGGTTGCCAATTTTCGTAGCCTGAAGAAAAAATTAGATGGCCCTCAACCCGGGGTAGCAAGTTGAAGAGGATGCTGACATTTGGCAAAATTTGGAGTTTTAATAAGAAGAGTCAGCACAGAAGCTGGGATGCTACAGAGAGTAACTAGGGTGCTGGCTTGCCAGGACCACTGTCGGGTAAATCAACTTCTATCATGAGGAAACCACGTAAAAGTGACCACGTAAGAAGGCTGGAACAACCCTGCTGCAATGGCAGACCCACGCACTTCAAAGAACAGATAGCAAAGGCTAGAAGGGTAAAAGGAATAGTTTGCTCAATTCATGGGATATTGTCAGTTTACCACTCATATCAAAAGTTCATCCAGATATCACCAAGAAACACAGATGTCAAAATTTTTTAAAAGACCTTTCAAGATTCTTGTAGAATTATGTGATACCTTCTAAAATAAATCTTTTCAGGAAGGGAAATGTCCCCTCTTCAGTATATGGAATAAAGTCTCTGTGATTATGAAATTCCATAGAGGCATATTACATATTAAGTAATGAAGAAGGCTAGCCCTCCCAGGGCGCCATCCCCAAATAGCTGCGTCTAGTGGGAAACTAAAGGGAAACGTAATCTATACTATAAAGCAAGCCATAATGCCAAACTAACTAGTATACTTCCTAACATCACTAACAGTAACTTTGCTTTAGATCTTTAGAAAACTTACATCCTGTGAGCCAGGATCAGTGGCTCACACCTGTAATCCCAGCACTTTGAGAGGCCAAGGCAGGCAGATCACTTGAGGTCAGGAGTTCAAGACCAGCCTGGCAAACTTGGCAAAACCCTGTCTGTACTAAAAGTACAAAAATTAGCCGGGCATTGTGGTGGGCACCTGTAATCCCAGCTACTTGCGAGACTGAGGCAGGAGAATCGCTTGAACCTGGGAGGCGGAGGTTGCAGTGAGCCGAGATCATGCCACTGAACTTCAGCCTGGACAACAGAGCAAGGCTGTCTCAAAAAAAAAAAAGAAAGAAAGAAAGAAAGAAAGAGTTACATCCTGAGAAACTTTGTTCACAAAATTCCACTGTTTTCTGCTTATTGTCTTCATTTTGGTCTGCTTACACATGATACCATGGTTGTCCACCTGGTTTTCAGTTGTAATTCAATTTTGATACCTCCTTAAATTAGATGAATTAATTGGTTACATTTATAGAGCCTGTAAACCATGCCAGACTTGCGCTTACTCCTATAATAATTACTTAGATTCCATAGGTCTGTCATAGAAGAAACTATCCTCAGTGAATAGTAGGTGGAAAAAGAAAATGGTTTGAACAGAAGGAAAACCCTTTAAACATGCCTGCTAAAGATAATGAGCTTATTCTGCTTCCAAATGCATCAGTAACGTAAAATATGAGAGCTTTCAGTTACATTATATGCAGGTGGGGTAGAAGAGATAATTGCTTAAAAATAAGCGTATGCGAATCACTGTTCTTTTCCTTCAGACTAAGTCATATATTAAGTGATATTTACCAAAAACAGGCTTGCTCAGTTTGGAAGATTGTAAAGAGGAAACTCTTTTTTTAACTTTAGCACGTCACACAGAACTTCCCTTCATGCCCTTCCCTAAGTCCCTACATTCCTCCTTTTACCTCTAATCTAAACCTGGTCCCCTAGAAAAGGGTTTGAAACTTATTTACACTAAGGTTCAAAATGAAAAGAGTCGTGTTTCCCCTTGCGCGATTATTTTCATCATGTCTAGGATTAGAGTCCTCAATGGAGTGTAGATGGTGTGATTTTAGACATCAGCAAGATGGGACTGATGACGTTGTCACTTTGGAGTAGCTGGTCCGATGCACATCAGGTAAGCAAGTGCATCGCTGTCGGAGAATGGCTTGGTCCTGTCGTGGAGGTCCCAGGCCAGGATGCTGGACACCCTCCCTGTCGCTTTCTTCTGCTAGCATAGACCAGAATATAAGCTGGTGAGATGCTTCCTCAGAGAAAATGTTGAGATGGACTAATTCAGATGCTTTGCTCCCTAAGCATCCTCACAGCCCCATCTAATACATGCCCCATGACAGCCTCCTCAGAGTCCCATCTAACACATGCTCCATGAGATAGAATTGTTTCTAGATGACATTATCAATAACAACCCACTGTTTGGTGGCATTATGTGCATCTGACATGCCCAGAATGAGCTTTCCTTCACTCTCTAAGTATCTCATAAAATCAGCTAGATCCATTTTTTTTGGTTCTTTATCCTGTGCTTGTCATGTCCTAGAACTATGTGATGGGCTTTGGGTTCACACTTGGTGAACTTACATTCATGTTAGCAGTGTTGCGAATTGGCAGTTTACAAGTGCTCTTGACTTCAGACTTCTCAGTTTTCTAAATCATTTGCTTTTAATAAAGGGCTAAGGAAGAACACGTGGCAGATGAGAACGCTGCTTTGCCCATTGACTTGCAAAATCTATTACCCTCTTGGCAATTGATAACCAGTTTGCTTGAAAAGGAAAACCATTGGTTGGAGTTGTTTGAAGAACAACTCTGTTCCTTTCCTTAGTGAGGGACCAGCTATGTACTTCTTAGGAAACAGTGAAAAATGAAAATGCACAATTTCTTGTATAAAAATTATTTCAAGACAGCAAAGCATTAAAGCAACCACAGAGCCCTTCTAAGGGTGGCGCCCCATCTGACATCTGACTGCCCAAATGCACACCTATGCCCTGCTTTGGTGTAAACTTTTTTTTTTTTTTTTTTTGAGACATAGTCTCACTCTGTCGCCACACTGGAGTGCGGTGGCGCGATCTTGGCTCACTGCAACCTCTGCCTCCCAGGTTCAAGCGATTCTCCTGCCTCAGCCTCCTGAGTAGCTGAGACTACAGGTGCCCGCCTCCATGCCCGGCTAATTTTTGTATTTTTAGTAGAGATGGGGTTTCACCATGTTGGCCAGGATGGTCTCCATCTCTTGACCTCATGATCCACCCACCTGAGTCTCCCAATGTGCTGGGATTACAGGCGTGAGCCACCACACCTGGCCTGGTGTAAACTTTATATTTTCTATAGTTAAATGGAAAAGTATTTCCAAAATGTTTTGAATGCCCTGGGACATGGATAGGAAATGCCAGTGTGGTCATTTAAGAGTGTGAAACTTCTTGTACAGTTACTATCAGTGTGAGTAGAACCTCAAGTGGAATTACAAATACTTAAAATGGGATACTGTTCTCCAACCTGTTTCTCACCTCTGTACTCCTATCCTATTTACTATCAACCTATTTTCTTCAATGGCTAATCTTATACTGCCTAACAATACGTCTATTTTATACCATTAATTTTTTGATATTTGCATATTGGTCTTTTTTTTTTTTTTTTTTAGTTAACCACTCGGTGTTGGTCCTCATATCTGGATTAGTGTCCTCATATATGGTATAGCTCTCATATCTGGTATGGTCCTCATATGGGATTAGTGTCCTCATATCTGGTATAGCTCTCACTTTCAGCAAGCCACACTGCCTTTCCCCTCTTTGTGTCTCCATAAGTATTTGCTGACTTGTTGCATCATTACCTTTGGAACAGACATGGAAATAAGAACTTAGCCTAGTAAAGTAATAAACATGTTTTCTTGCATAACTTGAGTTGATCATTGTAGGTAATAAAACCCCGCTCTGAATACCTCAAAGCAAAAAGAGAGAGACAGAGAGAGAGAGAGAAATTTTATTTGTTTAGACAGTCAAACCTCAGAAGGGCAAGAGTGGAACTTACTTGTGGAAGTCCTGAATGCAGAATTCTACCTGCTGTGAGTGTGGTTAGTCAGCCACATGTGTCTGTACCTGTCCCTTCCGTGATCCATGTGTCTTTTCAAATGTCCTCTCTCTATTCTTTCTCCTCCTTTTTCCTCTTCTTTCTCTCACCCTTTCTTCCCAACCCACCACCCCTCTGTAGCTTAGCTTTAACTTCCCAGCTAGGCTGTTTCTTAGCTGTCAGCCACTGCCATGGCTTATATTCTCATAACCCAGGAGGACAGAGCAGTTTCCATATCCATCTGCAAAAATACCAGGGAGGAACTCCAAATGAATTGTGTCCATCTCTGGATCAGCCCTGGTGGTACCGTGGTTAGCTTAGCAGTTCACAAACCTGATCCTGAAGCAAGAGAAGAGTGTTACCATGATCAACAGTTCCCTTCAGAGCAGTGTTTTTGAAGGAAGAACAGTTTCCCCAAAAAAGTAAACAATAATCTGGCCTAATTTATTAAGCCTTTAAAATCACCCATGTGATTAGCAAAATGTCTTAGCATGGTAGAAATAACCTGAAAGATGGTGTTAATGGTGTCCTTGAAATTTTTCTGATAGAATTTTCCTTGGAATAGTTTGGTGTATATAGATTGAAAAATATCGTTAAGGTTTTAAATCCTGTATTAATCTTTCTTATGCCACTATTTCTAATTTGCGTCTGATTACAGAGTGATAATAATAACTCTATTTTCTTGCTTCATCCTGATGACGCATGTGATTTGGTTGATATATTTCTCAAAATAGTGAATTTCTACACATCCGTGTCGGATAGGGCTTCTGTCTTTCTAGTCAATGTGTTTGGATTTTTAAGCTCTGCCACTTACTGGCTCCAGAATCGTAGAAAATCAATTAGTTTTCAAGAGTCAGTTTCCTAATCTGTAAAAGAGAAATGATAATACAGTCTTGCAGTGTTATCATGTAGACTAAATGACATAACGTATTTGAAGTATATAGCACAGTATCTACCTTCTGAATGCCTATACTGTTTTTCCATCATTTAATAAAAATGGTATCCTGGTCATGGCTCCCTACAAGGTGACATAACATTGCTAAGGCACACTGACCATCTTAAGAACATAGTCTGTAAACACAAAGTATTATTGTGACTCAGTTACATTCTTGGTTAGACAAAATATCTTGGTTGTGAGTCCAAGGATGAACTTTTGTTTGAAAATGTTCATGTAACCTACCCCTCCATATCTACACTAGGTGATACAATAGACACAGATCAAGTGATCTTGTCACGAATCAGAAAAATTATTTTTTCATCTACTTGGAACTAGACATGTACAATTGTTAATAAGAAATCCTCCTTTTTTGAAAAAACAATCTAGACTTGTCATCACTGAGCAACACAAAACATGTGCAAGTATGCATTTTTTAAAATTTCAATTTGTAGGCCAGGCATGGTGGCTCATACCTGTAATGAGCACTTTGGGAGGCCAGCACTTTGGGAGGCCAAGCACTTTGGGAGGCCAAGGTGGGTGGATCACAAGGTCAGGAGTTCGAGACCAGCCTGGCCAACATGGTGAAACCCTGTCTCCACTAAAAATACAAAAATTAGCCAGGCGTGTTGGTGCATGCCTGTAATCCCAGCTACTCTGGAGGCTGAGGCAGAAGAATTGCTTGAACCTGGGAGGCGTAGGGTGCAGTGAGCTGAGATCACGCCACTGCACTCCAGCCTGGGTGACAGAGCAAGACTCAGTCTCAAAAAAAAAAATTTTTTTTTCAATTTGTCTGTATTCACCAGAAGATGGGAAGGGAGACTAACATTTATTCTACCAAGCATCTCCCTAAGGTCTCACAGAGCACAGTTGTAGTGGGTAAGGAAATAGGCAATCTTCATCTCTTATTTTCAGGAAGGCATTGGCATGACTGTCACCTAGCCACTAATGAGGCTCTGTGGAGCTAGGATAACAAGAGCTGTATTAATTAAAAGAAAGAGATACAGATTGACTAAGAATGTGTGTCTTTTTTTTACCCTGATTGAGAGGCTATGGTCTAGGTCCTGGGAAAGGAGGGTTAGGCTTCCAGAACAACATCACTTCTCTGTTGTAAGTTGCGCTCAGTTTTCAGGATGAGTGTTCAGCTATATAACCATGTGAAGCTACCTGTGATTATTCACTCATTCCATATGGAGTCGTACTGGACACTGAGACGTTCAAGTATGTTAAATGAAGGTCTCCTCTTCTTTGAGCTAGCAGTATAGCACTGGTTGGTGTATCATGCAGTGGGAGGAACCAGGAGCAGGGACTAAGGAATTCTGCCCAGAGGACTTTTGACCTAGAACGTGGAGCAAGTGTAGGATTTTCACAGACAGTCCAGAGAGCTAAGGGCTTTTAGGCAAGAAGATCTGGCTCTGGCCACTGGGCCCCCAGCCTCATAGTGTGTATTGTGGCCTATCATTATTTCATTTTTAGTTGGCCTGAGACATTTTAATTTAATAAATCATGACATTAGTAAGGGTTATGTTTAAAGTATTGTCTAACTTAATTTACTGGTTTATTTTACTTTGAGACAGGTAGTCTTTGATGATCCAAGAGAAAGGATAGCTACTTCTCTAATTGCACAAGCATGTGGCAGTCACGTCTTGTTTCAGCCCAGCTGAAACCTGTAATTAGAGGAAAATAATTTGAATGTTTATCCTTAGAAGGTTATGCGTTACATTGGCGAGCCCCTCGTGCCTTGTTAACATTTCTTTTTCCGTAATTTGTATTCAAGTGATTTGTATTCAAGTGAACTACATGTTCAGATTTATGTATGATATTATTGGAGTAAGTTTAAGAAGGAAGAGACCATTTTCAAAGAAATTGAAAATACATCTGAAGAATGGAGATAAGGAAAGTTTACTCTTATGGAATAACGTACTTGCTGGATACGTAAGTGAAACTGCCTCTTGGACTGCAAGGTAGCATTCTTGCATTGCATGATAAATGAATTTGGCCAACCATTCACTCTTTTCATTCAGGCATCAATTTTTAGAAAAATGACCCATAAAGAAATCCTCTTCTCAGTGCCAACTTTCTGTAACCAAAGGTTTGGCAGAAGAGTCGACAAACAGGACAGTCAAAATAGTGGCCAATGGAGGCCGAGGGTGTGAGAAGATTTAGCTGTATTCATGAATTGGAGTAACGCATACACATTAAGACAGTAAGTAATGCATTCAACAATTTTTTATGATATGTATGCCCTACTATATGCCAGGCAACATTCCTGGCCATGTGGATCTTTTCTCTTCTCATGAGAGAAACAGACAACAAAAAGTAAGCGCATATTTAAGTTACAAGCTGAAATCAGTGCTATGAGGAAAATAAACAGGGAGTCATCTTGCAGAATCCAACGGGAGGAGGTTCATTTAGAGAGGTTGGTCAGAGGAGGCCTTTCTGAAGAGGCAGCATTGCTGTGGACACCTAAAGAATTCAAGGGAACAGCCCCATGAAGGGGCACAGTGGGGAGGGTGTAATGTGCTGTATGAGCATTCCGGGTAGATGGTAAGGATGTTCACGGCAATGTGGCAGGAAAGATTAAGCACTTTCCAAGAAAGATGGGGGCCATGCAATGAATTTGATAAAGCAAGCTGAGTCCTGAGCATTCAGGCCCTGGTAAGTCATGGTAAACATTGACTTTTATTGTGCATTCAATAGGAAGCCATCAAAGGGTTTTTTTTTTTTTTCTGGAGAGAAAATAACCTTATATGATACATGTAATGAGAAGATTATTGGCTGCCAAATGGGTAGTAAATTGGAGAGTGGAGAGTGCTAGTAAAAAGCAAGTTAGGAAGTTATTTTAGTGACCTAATTGAGAGCTAGGACTCTGCAGACTGGGGTGAAGGCAGTAAAGATTGTGGAAAATAGGTGAATTTGAGATATATTTTGGAGGAAAATCTACATAGATTTGCTGTTCACAGGCTCCTGGATGAACCAGTTTTTGGAATCAGAAAATTGTAAATGTCAGCTCAGATACTGAAAAGCTAATATTCACTAGGATGCTAGAGATCAAGAAAACAAGAAAACAGATTTCTCCTTTCTTCTAAAATGCTGTAGAAAAAGAGCTGAGGAAAGATATGAAAACCAGGATATTAAGATATTTACTTTGTAAAATTTAGTTCTTTTTAAAAAATGGAAAGCCCTAACGTGAAGATTAGCTGGGAAAGGGCTTTGCATTTGCTTCTTTATCTTGCCGTGTTCCAAGAGGTGTTTTTAAAACTTTGGGAAATCTTCAAAATCCTCAATTCAAAAACTGAAGAAACTCTCAGTAGGTAGTTCTAGAGAATCCGGACCAAGAGCTAAGAACGTGGCTTGTCCAAAGATGTTTTTAGTTTGGTAAGGATTTGAACATTGTAGCATCTTTTAATGAGTGTGTAGACACTTGTAAGGTATCTGAGCAGTTTTTAATTCCCCTTTAGCATTTGCTAAAAGGGTTTTTTGATGTCATAGCAAAGTTTGCAGTAGAACTATCCTGGATCAAAATATACTTCCTGGAGTGAAGATATTTAAAGTTACTCTTTTAAAAAATAACATCATGTGGCTTATGTGGGCCGAAAACAAGATCCTATTCAAGCTAGATGACGTTATTTTTTCAGGGGCAATTTTTAATTTCTTTAGGATACTTTCAAATGGTTATAATTTGCTAGAGGAAGTACAGACCTGTTGAATTTGAATAATATCAAATTAACAAATTGTTAGGTTTGCGTGGACTTCTGCTAGAGCCTGGATTTTTAAGATAATCAAAAACGTAAGGAGCCAAAGGCTTCCCCATGGCTCAGTCCCACCATGACATGCTCCGGGCTAACTCTCACACCTTTGGGCAAAGGAATTTCCACATTCACACACTCCTCCTGCTCGACTTTAGGATTTCAGCTTCACACACTACCCCTGTTCCCATTAGGGGGAGTGGAGCTTTAGAAAAATGGAAGGTGTTTCTTCTGCACTTAAACATTAGCAGCCTTAGGGCAAATGGATAATCAAAGACTATTCCTGAGAGATGAGGGAAGAGATTGCCTCCACCTAGAGGTATCGATCCCTACGGCAGGGTTGAAGCTAACAACAGATGTTAGACCAAGACATGTTAGTGGTTATTTTATTTGACAGACAGCAATTCGCTCACCTGGTTTTGGCTGCTGGACTCTGGTTAAGGTTTAGAAGCAGCTGTAATGAGACGTTAAGCTCAGTTTTAAAAGGAATTATTTGTGAAAGCATGTGCTGGGTCTGTGTGTGTTGGGGGATGTTGGGAGGTTGGATACCAAGAATGGACATCCGTATTGAGGTACTTTGAGAATATATATTTCAATATAGGACCTACAAAAAATAAGATAATATTCAGGTATCTTGGACAGAGAATGAAAAGAAAATGGTCCTAAAAAATGTAAGTAGAATGGCCAGTAAACACATGAAAAGATATTCCACATTGTTAGTCCTCAGGGAAATGCAAATCAAAACCAAAGTGAGATATACTTCATACTCACTAGGAAGGCTGTGGTAAAAAACACAGACAGTAACAAGTGTTGCAGATGATGAGAATGTACGGAACTCTCATACTTTGCTGGTGGAAATACAAAATGGCTTTTGCCATTATTTTTATGGCAAAAACTGCAATTACTTTTGCACCAACCTAATACGTGGGGCCTGAACGTAGATTCGTCTTTGTGAGGAGCTGGAGTCTTGGGGTACAGAGGGAGGAAAATGGAGAGTGACTACTAATGAAGTTTCTCTTGCGGGGGGTACAAAATGCCCTAAACTTAGATGGTTTTAGAGGAGT
This sequence comes from Homo sapiens, assembly GCF_000001405.40. Lineage (NCBI taxonomy): Eukaryota > Metazoa > Chordata > Mammalia > Primates > Hominidae > Homo > Homo sapiens. The sequence goes on from NC_000001.11 coordinate 240,447,801, forward strand.
GCACAAACCTACGCATCTACTCAAAAAAAGTTGACGTTCACTTTCAGTGAGTGAATTGTACGGCATGTGAATGATAGCTCAGTCAGGCTGTTCTGGAAGGAAGAAGAATTAAGTAGAATTCACACATTAGAGTTGCATCAGAGTTCTAAGCATGAGAGTGGACCACAGTTGAACATACTGACAACCTTCAGTGATCGTTATTCAGAGTGTTCACAGTTTTGAAAAATCTAACATCGGTCCCTCTTCTGCCTGCCTGGTACAACTCCTGCTACTTCCCCTGTACCCGAGTAATTTTGTATGTACCCAAGAAAACAAACCTTGAAACTACAAACATGAGTATTAGCTAACAGAATTTGGGAGATAAATCTGCTGGAAAAAGCTATTAAAAAATTGCACAGCTCATTCCAGAATCAAAAAAGACCATCATCAACTTAGATAATTAGTCATTTGCAGTAGTTTGACTCTGTAGTGATGAAACAGGCTGGTGCTTTCCCTGTGTAAACCCACTTCACGAACTCTAAGTCATGTTTTAAAAATATACACACATGCAAAAAATACTATATGTATGCATATATATGTGTGTGTGTATGTGTTTTGAACAATTATTCATCTATTGTGAATAAACTTTTTCAAATCTAATCTCCATGGGAAGAGTCCTATTATTCAAGTTTCTGTAATACATAGGACCTTTATTGCTAATGGAAAGAGATAAATACTTAGAAAAAAAGAATTTGGTCAGGTGCTGTGGCACACGCTTGTATCCCCAGCACTTTGGGAGGCTGAGGGAGGACAATTACTTGAGCCCAGGAGTTCAAGAACAACCTGGGAAACATAGGGAGACCCTGTCTCTACAAAAACAAACAAACAAAAATTAGCTTGGCATGGTGGTGCACACCTGTGGTCCCAGCTACTTGGGAGGCTGAGGCAGGAGAATCACTTGAGCATGGGAGGTTGAGGCAGCAGTGAGCCATGATTGTGCCACTGCACTCCTGCGTGGTCAACAGAGCAAGACCCTGTTTTAAAAAAAATAGTAATTCAATATGATAAAAAGTGGTTAACTGGCAGGGTAGGGTGGCTCACACCTGTAATCCCAGTACTTTGGGGGGCCAAGGCGGGTGGATGGCTGGAGCCTAGGAGTTGAGACCAGCCTGGGCAACATGGCAAAACCCCATCTCTACAAAAAATACAAAATTTAGTTGGGCGTGGTGGCGCCTTCCTGAATTCCCAGCTACTTGGGGGCCCGAGGTGGGAGGATCACTTGAGTCTGGGCTGTTGACGCTGCAGCAAACAGAGATAGTTCCGCTGCACTCTAGCCTAGGTGAAGAAAGTGAGACCCTGTCTCAAAAAAAAAAAAAAGTGGTTAAAGTACATAAGAAGAAAATGAATTTGTCTGTCTTTGCTATGGGTGAAGATTTGCATCTTTCCCTTCTGTTTAATGAACACTTCACCCTCTCTCCGGAATCCTTATGCCCCCTGGTACCCACTTTCCCTGCCTTTCCTGTGACTTTCTGCTTACTGACACTGGGCCCCACTCCATGGCCTTCTGACCAAGTCACCGCTCAGGCTTTTTGCTTGCCATACAAGGTTGGCCTTAGAAACTTGAACCGTGGGCAGCTGCTAGGTCATGAGAAGAATTTTGAGCCCGTGGAAAGGAAACTTTTGTTTAAGGCAGACAATACTAGAGACAGACCTTTGATATGGTACTTTCTAGTGAGCAGATACCCAGTGAAGATTAACCATGCTGATGCTGAAGAACCGGCTATAGAATTACAGTGTGGTCTTGGATATTGACACTTCTAGTTCATTCAAGTTTCCATCGATTAAACCACAATCATCATGGCAAATTAGGATCATGTAGCTTGGAGTTCTTCGGTTTGTGTGAAAAGCTATTGTATACAATTTGTTCCTCCTTAAAGGGACATGTAAATTGTCATCATCATTATTTAAATCATTACATATATATGCTATTTCATTTTCCAGATTTATTGAGGCTTAATTGACAAATAAAAATTATATGCATAAGGTTATACAAAGTGATGTCTTGATATACATTGTTAAGTACTTATCACAATTAAGCGTTAATATATCCATTAACTTTTTGCGGTAAGAATACTTAAGATCTTTAAGATCTGTTATCTTAGCAGGTTTTAAGTGTACAATACATATTATTATTATTATAGGTACTGTGCTGTACATTAGGTCTTTAGACTTGTTCATTTTATAACTCAAAGTTATAAGTATTCTTTGACCAATGTCTCCCCATTTCTCATATACTTATTATAATGTCACATCAAAATTAAATTCTAAAATTCTTGGTGTTTTAGGGCCTATGATTTTGCAATTTTTAAGAGTAATAATTCTGCAGAGCCAAATAAATGAAAACAGCATTACAGCTAATATAATTCCTAAAATAATGTAAAACATTTTTGTTTTACAATTAGGCTTTCTAATTATAACTATAATTTATTAATACATAGATTAGATTATGAATACAACAGAGGTCTGTCTGCAGAATCCCTTTGAATATTGTCTTATGTGAAGCCTATGAGCATTTTCATTTCATTTCATTCTATTTCGATTTACTTTGCTTTTGTTTCCTAAGATCTGTAATAAAACACCTAGGATCCCAGATACCTTGAATGTCTTTCTAAGTCTGAACACTTTAGGTAATCAACCTCATCTGTCATTTTATCTTGTTGGTAATACTAAACATTCCCTAACTAATCTTTTAGCATTGTCTCCATCCTCTCCCACCCGGCCCCAGCCACGTTCCACCTCCGATTGATTATAGAGGTCGCTCCCTTCCTTTAGGGCCAGCAGTGAGGCTGGCACCCGAGCGTCACATGCTCTGTATCTAGATGAAAGAACGTGCTCCTGGCCAATGTGGCTCCGTAGCTCATTGATCTCTCTCTGGAGAAAGGCTGGTATGTCTCCTTGCACATTTCTTCTTTGAATGATTTAAAACTTGATGCTGAGCTATATAAAGTTCTGTCTGGATAGCTGTGCCTTACAGAGGGAGGGTCATCCTGAAAGATGCCACTTCTGCCTTTACAGAAAGGGCACGCAGACCGTTCCTAGGGCAAGCCACCTCCACCATGGCGTTGTGTGGAATTAGCTAATGGTTATACCTGGCAAAGATGAAATGAAGGTTAACAGGACAACAGAGGTATCCTTGTGCTACTGTACGGTCAGAAAGGAATTCAGCCCTATCCCTTGGAGTTATATGCAGATTCAAGTTGTCTGGTTTTTTGTAAGGAAATATTAATTTTTAAAAGCATTTGTCTTGGCTGGGCGCAGTGGCTCACGCCTGTAATCCTAGTGCTTTGGGAGGCCGAGGCGGGTGGATCACGAGGTCAAGAGTTTGAGACCAGCCTCGACAAGATGGCGAAACCCTGTCTCTACTAAAAATACAAAAATTAGCTGGGCGCGGTGGTGGGTACCTGTAATCCTCATGAGGCTGAGGCAGGGGAATCACTTGAACCTGGGAGGTGGAGGGTGCAGTGAGCCGAGATCACAACACTGCACTCTAGACTGGGTGACAGAGCAAGACTCCATCTCAAAAAAAAAAAAAATTGTCTTGAGGAGGACAGAATTGCAGGTGTGTTGGCTGAGTCTGTAGCTGTTTTGCTGTGAGCAGAATAGAACCAGCGTCATTAGGTCAGTACCAACTCTTTTTGGGCTTTACAATATTCTGCCCCTGCAGTGGTTCTGGGGATGAGCTGGGAAATGAGATGATTGGCGTGTTCCCCAGGAGGAAATGCCAGCAAGCCATGTTAGAGAGGCCCAACTGCCTGCTCCCCAACAGGGGCCTCATCCCCTGAGTTTCATTAACCTAAAGATGACCTCTGTCTCCACTAACTTAGGAGTCACTGGGAGTAGAACTAGTAGAGCAATAGAAGAAAGTGCGCTTATAAGCCTGATATAGTAAAATAGTGGGTAGCAGCACCAGCAGTGAGACATGAAGGAAGTGTAGTGTTGGGTTTATTTTTAAATAAACAGATAGTATCTGTCATTATATTAATGATTTAGTATTTTGCTTTGTTATTTTAGCACTATTAATATTTCTCTTGTTTTATAATGGACATCTAAAGTGGGCTGCATTTACCATGACTCTGAAAAATAAAAAAACTTAAAATTCAGTTATATATTGGGAGGCCGAGGTGGGCAGATCACAAGGTCAGGAGATCGAGACCATCCTGGCTAACACAGTGAAACCCCGTCTCTACTAAAAATACAAAAAATTAGCCAGGTGTGGTGGCACTCACCTGTAGTCCCAGCTACTCAGGAGGCTGAGGCAGGAGAGTCACTTGAACCTGGGAGGCAGGGGTTGCAGTGAGCCGAGATCACACCACCGCACTCCAGCCTGGGCGACAGAGCAAGACTCTGTCTCAAAAAAATAAATAAATAAAAAATTTAGTTATGTAGCCATTCACTCTTTTTCAAAAGAATATATTGAATATTCATGACTTAGGCATTCATTTAGAATTTCAAATACCCAGAAGTGAAAGTTGACAGGCAAGAATCCCCACTCCTTTAATTAGTCAGAAAAAAATGGTTCAGAGATGAGCCTCTAAAATGTATTGAACAAGGAAAAAGGACAGAGGTAAAAGTACTAACTCTTTAATCTTTAAAATATTCCAATGATCATTATATTTAGATAATATATATTTTTGCAAAAATTTTATCAGAAATAAAAGTGTATTCCTAGATCTTAACTTTACGAGACGGGTTTATTTTTTAAAATTAACCTCTAGGTTCAAATTCCTATGGCCTAAAGGTAAATATTTTTGGAAAGTGATAAAATTCCATTTGGCCACTTTAAATTTTTCCAGGTGTTCAGGGGAAGTAAATAAAATGAGGCATAAAAAGGAAAAAGTATGAAAAAGGTAGAAAAAATAGTAGAAAAAAGTATGTCATCAGTTAAGAGATTTCATCAGTTAAGAGAATTGCAGGTGCTCACAGATAACTCAGTAGCTTTCATTTTAAACATCTTACTAGCTGTAGATATTAATACATTCTTAAATTCATGTGCTGTTTTTATGACAGAAGCACTCATAATTCTATACTGAGTATGTACACAAGTTTATTTCCTACAACCTCTGATTAGTTTTCTTAATGTTTTCGTTTTACAAAGGCTGAATAAGGTATGTAGCAAGAGCACGTGCTTGTAGGTTAAAAAGACCTGGATTTGATGTATATCTCTGAGAGCACCCATGTAACCCTTGACAAATTAATGTACTCTCTGAACCTGTTTCCCCATTTGTAAAATGAAGGTACTATACGCACCCAATTGCTGAAGTAAATTAAAGGAGACACAGAGTATAAAACATTTAGCACACGCTTTCACATATAGAAACTTCTTAGTTAATGTTAGTTGCTGCCATTATCATTAATATATTAACGTTGTTTGAAAAGCAATAAACTTACTATGAGAAAGATTTAGCACTAAATAAATTCATAGAAGCCAAACCCCACATAATTCTATTCTACCAGCCACCCTTCCTTAGGTTTGTATTCCCAAACATGAATCGAAGCATTACCAATGATAAGCCCTTTGACCTTGGGCAGTTATTTAATCTTAGTGAACTTCAGTTTTCTAATTTAAACAATCGACATATCAATCACTAAAGTACATGGTATTGAGGCTGTTAATTATATTAAGTGTCATAGTCCCAACACAGTGCCTAGTTCATCACAGGTGCTGACTATTAAAATTAGTACCAATGGTGTTTTGGAAATTACTACTATTATTATAAATGAGCCCAGTGTTTTTCTCTCCATGAATAAAACATTGAGGAAGAACTGGACAGAATGAGGAAGAGCTTGGAAAAGGAGGAGAATGAGAGTGGGTATTAATGAAGCATAGAGATGAGGAAGAATAATGGTGCTTAAAAATGGAAGGCATAGGGCCGGGCGCGGTGGCTCACGCCTGTAATCCCAGCACTTTGGGAGGCCGAGGCGGGTGGATCATGAGGTCAGGAGATCGAGACCATCCTGGCTAACAAGGTGAAACCCCGTCTCTACTAAAAAGACAAAAAATTAGCCGGGCGCGGTGGCGGGCGCCTGTAGTCCCAGCTACTCGGGAGGCTGAGGCAGGAGAATGGCGTGAACCCGGGAAGCGGAGCTTGCAGTGAGCCGAGATTGCGCCACTGCAGTCCGCAGTCCGGCCTGGGCGACAGAGCGAGACTCTGCCTCAAAAAAAAAAAAAAAAAAAAAAAATGGAAGGCATAGAACACATAGAAGGTAAAAGTCACTGGAAATAACTTCTCTATGAGGGAGTTCATATCTTTTTGTATTAGCAGCATGATCCGCCACTTAATATTTTAAAATATTCTTACCATGGAACCCTGTGCTTTCTTCACTGTGGATCCGTAGCAATCATGGCGTTTTCTCTTTTTTGTCTCCACCAAATCAACTCACTCTTGCTGAGCATCATTCTTCATTAAGATATGGCTTTGGGGCCAGGAATGGTGGCTCATGCCTTTAATCCCAGCAATTTGGGAGGCTGAGGCAGGTAGATCACTTGAGGTCAGGAGTTCAAGACCAGCCTGGCCAACATGGCAAAACCCCATATCTACTAAAAATACAAAAATTTGCTGGGCATGATGGTACCCACTTGTAATCCCAGCTACTCAGGAGGCTGAGGCATGAGGCTCACTTGAACCCAGGAGGCAGAGGTTGCAATGAGCTGAGATCGCACCACTGCACTTCAGCCTCGGTGATGGAGTGAGACTCTCACTCTAAAGAAAAGAATAAATATATATGGCTTCCAATCCTTTAGATTATAGATCTCCTATTTATAGTAGTGTTGTGTTGAGGTCTTTTAAAGGACAAGGATTGTGCCTCTTTTGCCCTCTTTACACATCTTGTTCTTCTTAGTTAAGCATTAAGCAAAGCTGTCAACATAGCATAGAAACACAGAGGTTGGAGTTAGGGATAGAGAAGGGGCTGGGAGCATTGAAAATAGAAAGCCAGACCCAAGTAGCAGCACCAGAGCACAGGGTATGGAGCCTGAACTTGAGGCTACATAATATTGATGGCAAATTCAAGATAAAGGTGGAAAAGCTATTGTTTTTTAATGTCATGGGCCAACAAATGAATGGACGGTTGGTTAGATGAGGAGTTACTGGAAATGACACAACCATTCAAGAAAGAATACAAACCCAAGTTAGCAAAGTGATGGTATTATGAGGAAAGCTTGGCTCCTACGTTTAAAAGCTCTCTACTTTATTATTAGTTAAAAAAAAAAAAGTCAAATCACTCACAGCACACTTTGCCACTGATTACAATCCACTAGTGTGTCCCAGACATTCAAATGAGAACCAGGGACTCTGCACAACCTCTTAGCTTAAGAGAGGTGAGAACATGACCATCGGAAAGTAAAGAGGAAATGTGTTGACTTCCATATAAGATATACTTTACTATTCATTAATAATTATTAAAAGCGAGTTTCGGCCAGGTGTGGTGGCTCACCGGGGCAGGAGGGTTAGTTACTTCAGGCTAGGAGTTCCAGACCAGCCTAGAAAACATCGCAAGATCCCCATCTCTACAAAAAATAAAATAAAAAGTTAGCTGGGTGTGGTGGCACATGCCTGTAGTGTACCACCAGGAGGCACACTACAATTGAGATAACAATTGCTGAAGATGGTATTGATGCTGCTAATGACATTAAGTGCAAAAGTCCCAACGCAGTGACTAGCCCATCACAGGTGCTACTAAAATTAGTACCATTGGTGCTTTAGAAATTACTGCTATTACTACCAGCTACTTAGGAGGCTGAGGTGGGAGGATCACTTGAGCCTAGGAGTTTGAGGTTATAGTGAGCTATGCTCATGCTACTGTACTCTGGCCTAGGCAACAGAGCAAGACTCTGTCTCTAAAAAAATAATAATAGGCTGGGCTTGGTGGCTCATGCCCGTAATCCCAGCACTTTGGGAGGCTGAGGAGGGTGGAGCACCTGAGATCAGGAATTCGAGACCAGCCTGACCAACAAAGTGAAACCCCATCTCTATAAAAATACAAAAATTAGCCAGGCGTGGTGACAGGCACCTGTAGTCCCAGCTACTCAGGAGGCTGAGACAGGAGATTTGCTTGAACCCAGGAGGCAGAGGCCGCAGTGAGCCAAGATCACGCCACTGCACTCCAGCCTGGGTGACGGAGCGAGACTGTCTCAAAAATAATAATAATAATAATAATAATAATAAGTTGCATAATGATCTCAGAAAAGGTAAGAGCGACATGTTCATATCCAAATATTCTTAATCACTAGTAGTCATGTGTCATTTTCTACCTGATTATGACTTCTCTAACAGGAATAATGGAGTCTACACACTTTGGGGATAATTATTATAATATATACAGTTTTATTCCTAATTTTATAGTCCAGACCCATAATCTCTTATCTACAATTTTGAGACCCAAAAACCTCAGAAACTGAAAGCTTATTCATATTTTTGTGGCAAATTTATCTGTCAGCAACACTCAACTTTCATGAGGCTATGTACAGTCTTTACTCATTCTATAGTGTGAGTGTTCATATACTTACAGAAATACCATTGTGTTTAATCAAACATTGATTCCATGCTATGTCAGACCCTTTTGATAGTGTTATGCTCCATATTCCTATCTGAAACTGGAAACGTTCTGAATTGTTTTTATTTTTTATTTTTATTTGAGACGGAGTTTCGCTCTTGTTGCCCAGGCTGGAGCGCAATGGCACGATCTCGGTTCACCACAACCTCTGCCTCCCGAGTTCAAGTGATTCTCCTGCCTCAGCGTCCCCAGTAGCTGGGATTACAGGCATGCGCCACCATGCCCGGCTAACTTTGTATTTTTAGTAGAGACAGGGTTTCTCCATGTTGGTCAGACTGGTCGCGAACTCCCGACCTCAGGTGATTCACACACCTCGGCCTCCCAAAGTGCTGGAATCGTAGGCGTGAGCCACTGCACCCGGCGGAAGAGTGCTGAATTCTAAAATCCTTCTAAGCCCTAAGAATTTGGGGTAAAGGATGATAGAATGAATGGCTGGCCGACTGAACTATGTATTCACTGGGCCTTATTCTGCTCTCTCTAGAACCGCACAGATAAATCCAATCCTTTGTTCCATGTAATAAATCTGATATTTAAGGTTCGCTATGAAGATTCTACCAGGTTTTCTATTGCCCTGACATAAACCCTTTGTCCTCTTCATTGTTCTGGAGTCTCTTGGACTTTTCTGATTCATTTAGCTTCCCGCTCACCCTGGGCCTCATCATCTGATAGTTCAGCTATGCCAGCACTGGTACTATGATTTATACAACAGATTACACCTCTCAACTTACCACTTCCCAAAGTTGGCAGGCCAGACCCTTCACACCTCTTGCTCTAGGAAAAATCTTCTAAGCTGGACAACTTCAAAATCAATGTTCCCCAACCTAAGTTAGATTCTCTAAGGAATGGATATCCTGAGACAAATCCTGGGAAGCATGAGGGGAATGGCAAGTCAAGAGCATTTTCATTCCAATTTCCATTTTCCTCTCTAATCGTTCCCCGTACTGCCACCTTCCACATTCTTCAAACTGTAAGCACCACTTCTGCATGCTTCACTACGAATGTATGACTTGTCCGCATACTTCCCTGAGGTCCTTCAGTATGTACTTATTAAGTGTCTATACTAGGCAGTGGAGTTGTGAATAAAACCAAATTCCTGCCCTGGTGGAGCTTACATTATAGAAGGGAGGTCCAGACCATCAATAAATATACAGCGAAGCTCCAAGGAAAAACAGAGCAGGGCAAAGAGAAGACAGCTATGGGAGGTGGTTTATTTTATATAAATTAGCCAGACAGTGCCTCTGAGAGGTGATGTCTAAGCAGGGACTCGGAGATGAGGGAATAAGCTAATGGATATCTGAAGAAAGAACCTTCCACATGGATGAAGCATCGCATGCAAAGCTCAAGGAAGGAGCATGTTTAGTCAAGTGCCTAAAGTGGCTGGAGCAGAGTGAGTGAGAGTTGAGAGGTAGAAGATGAATTCGGAGAGGGAGCATTGGGGCCAGACTATGTAGCCTAGTGGGCCAAGTGAGGTCAGGCCTTTAAGAAGGAGCGTATTGAGGAAGAACCATGCACACTACTGCTAGTGCTAGGGTGAGAAAGATGAGGACTGAGAACTGACCTGGATTTGGGATCTTGGGTGAATGAGTGACATCCGCAAGAGTAGTCTCTGTTGACTGGTTAGGGACAGATGTCTGATTAACTGGGAGCACAGGAAGCTGGGGCAGTGACTCTAGGTAACACGCTCTTGAGGCATTGGTATATGTAAAGGGTCACAATGGAAAGGAAAGCTAGCAGGAGGGCAAGGGAATTAGGGTTTTGTTTTTGTGTTTATTTTTGGTGCTGGGATAAACAGCGTATGTGTCACTGGGTAGAAATGATCCAGTAAAGGAAAAATTGTGAACTTTGTTCTCTCTTAATATGTGTGTTTCGTTGATTCATTCCTGACTTGTATCTCCCACATCTTATCCCTTAATTAAGCCATTCTTCCTCTTGCATAATTGCAAATTATTATGATATAAATAGCTTTGTTGTACTCTTTTATGAGTTTTACAGGGAGGAAATTGCATAAACTCTCTATAAAGTAATTTCTATGTTTAAAAGCCCTTAAGTTCTCCCGCCCCATAGCCTGACCAAAAAAGTCTTACTAAACAAAAATAGGATACAAATGATCCATACACATCATCCTGGCTAGAGAAGGGTCAGAAACTACAGTGTTGTTAGAACCAATAGAGCTTAACTTTATATCTCACTGGCTTTAATAAAAAACTTTTCTGAGCTATTTGACACAAAAATCACTAAGATTAAGAAAATATCTTAACACAGGTGGAAATAGTAAAAGGATGTTTGCATGAAAACCGTCAAATGTAATAAACAGCACTATTCTCTGATAATAAAAGATGAATCTGGCTGTCAGATGCAATTTTATAATAGCTTCGACCATCATGTACGGCAGGAGTATTTTTTTTTATTTACTATCGTTAAGTTTGTGGAACCAGTGATTGTTGTTTTACTATTTTGTTAAGGAAACCTAAAACATTCTTAGAATGTACAGAAAGAATATGGTCATTCTTATAGGACCAAAGGGCGTATCAAGTGAGCTGCTTTTGTAAATACCATGAAAATCCAAGTCTGACATGGAATTAAAATCATCTCTACTACAAGATGCAGAAAAAAACCAAACTCTTTTTTTTCTATATCAGAGACTTAAAAATATTAGTGATGACCAATGTGATTAGAAGCTTTAAAATCCTAACATTTATGTGAACAAAAATCTTCCTGTTTTCAGAGACTTAAGCATATCATCTGAGCATTGAAAAAAGCTCTTAATAGTACCTTTCAGATTTCTCATCTGTTTTCAGATCCCATATTAAACTCCTTGTGGAAGAATGAGAAAGAAAGCTACTCTAAATTTTACAGAATAGAATTCAGGCTCTTTATTTACAAAATGGAGTGTGAACCTTGCTGTTTACTCATCTACCCCCTCAAGCAATTGTGTTTTCCTTCCTTATCAGCACAGACCATCACAGTTCCAGGATTTGTCTGAGATGCTAGCCACCTCTGATTGCTATTCACTGGACACTCTTGTGATTGTGATTTAAGATTGTAGGCCAGGCGCAGTGGCTCACGCCTGTAATCCCAGCACTTTGGGAGGCTGAGGTGGGCGGATCACGAGGTCAGGAGTTTGAGACCAGCCTGGCTGATATGGTGAAACCCCATCCTACTAAAAATACAAATATTAGCTGGGTGTGGTGGCATGCACCTGTAGTTGCAGCTACTCAGGAGGCTGAGGCAGAAGAATCTCTTGAACCTGGGAGGTGGAAGTTGCAGTGAGCTGCTATCGTGCCACTGCACTCCAGCCTGGGTGACAGAACAAGACTCTGTCTCTAAAAAAAAAAAAAAAAAAAAAAAAAAAAAAAAAAAAAAGATTGTAGAGGAAGTATGCTAACTGTCCTTTCTTCTAGATTTTTCATTTTTAACCTCATATGAGATTAGATCACCAAAAACCTACATGGCATACTTGAAGTGTTTGTAAGCATTACTCTCCTCAGAAATGCTTTCACCAAGTTAAAGTTTCGTCTCAGTTTTCATTGAGGATTTGTGTGGGAAGGAAAAAATTGGCCATTGGAAAATGTCTGTGTCTTCTACATTTTCAGATTTATACTGACTACAATTCACATCCTTTATTTAGACAATCGTGTCAAAAATTCCTCCTAGAAATTAGAGTCAGGAGAATGTGGTGGTTGTTTTTTCTTCTCCGGATGAATCTTACATGCTTTTCTTTTTCAAAGATGAACGCTATAGCCCACTGTGTTTCCACGACTACTTTTGCTTGAAAAGAGTTCAAAATTTATCCAATTATTCAATAGAACTTCTCCTCTGTATTTGCTAAAAGACATGCATCCACTTCTCTAGTTCTCTTTTAAAATAATATCTTCAGTGTTGTAAAAGATTCAGTCTTTCAGAATCAAATGATTGTAGGCCAAGCGTGCTGGCTCGTGCCTGTAACACCAGCACTTTGAGAGGCCAAGGCGGGCATATCACCTGAGGTCAGGAGTTCGAGACCAGCCTGGGAAACATGGTGAAACGCCGTCTCTACTAAAAGTACAAAACTTAGCTGGGCGTGGTGGCAGGTGCCTGTAATCCCAGCTCCTTGGGAGGCTAAGGTACAAGAATCGCTTAAACCCCAGTGAGACAAGATCATGCCACTGCACTCCTGCCTGGGTGACAGAGCAAAACTCTGTCTCAAAAAACAGAAAAGACTCGAACGATTGTAAGTGAATAGAAACATAAATAAATAAAATACATGTAAATGAATATAATTAACATAAATATATAATGTATATATAATATGCATTAAATATAAATGCATATATTGATATAAGCAAGAAAGTAAAATATTAAAAACATTCTGAAAATCACGTATTTATTAAACAATATAAATATTGTTTTTGTTTGTTTAATTTTCCAAAATATTATGCTATGTTATGCTACCTCCAAACAGAGGTTTTCAACATGTTCTCCTGGGCAAACATTGTCACCATCACCTGGGGACTTGTTAGAATTATACATTCTTGAACTCCCACTCTGGGCCTGCTGATTATGGGGGTAGAAACCAGCAATCTGTGTTTCAACAAGCCTTTCAGGTGATTCCTACACACAGTGAAGTTTAAGAGCCACTGTTCTGGGTCTCATAATAAAAAGGTGCCTATAGTTCCAACCGCAAGCTCTCCGCTTACCTGCATTCCTGCCTTGCTATTTGCCTGCCTTCCTTCTTGCATCCTGTATTCCCGCTTTTTATCCTTCCTATGTGTGTGCATTGTGAGAGAAAATAGTGCAATGATGAAAGCGAACGCTCTGGAAGTACATGATGTGTGTCTGGACTTGAACTACTACAAGTCTGCCACAAATTAGTGTGTGATCCTGAACAGGTAATTTGGCCATTTTAAGTGTCAGTTTCATCATCTGTAAAAGTTGGACAACAACAATATCTACCTTAGGGGGTTACTGCGAAATTTAAAGGAGATGGTTATCTGTAAGCTCTCCTAGCTCTGCATTTGGCACATTATAAGGTCTTGGTGTTAGCTGCTATTGTGATGAGCCAGGTGCCGTGCTGGGCATGGAATAGAGAGAGAAAAGGCACTCTCTGCCTTCAGGGTGCTTACATTGCATTACATCTTTTAAGATGCTTCTTCTGTGGGTGCTCTCTAAAGGGAAATGGATATTGAACTTGGGAAATACATTGCAAGTCATCTATTCAAATCTACTTTCCACTGTAGGAATATCATTTTCATAGTAATAATGGCTAGACATTTAAGCCCATGATTTTGTCCCCTTTTTAGTGCTATTGTGATATGGAAAGAGTGCAGACTGTGGAGTTAACCACATCTGGGTTCTCTTCTTCATTCTTCTATCGCGTGACCTCAAGAGGCTCTCTGAGCCCCAGCCTGCTCATCTCTAAAATAGGATGGTGGCATCACTCATGTTTGGTCACAAGGTGGTCAAATGAGATGGTGCACATGATATGCCCACTGTCTCTGCACACCACTGCCCCACTGTAAATAGTCATTTTCTTCAAATAAAAAATCAACCCAGGCCTTTTTCTGGGTATCTGTGAATGCCAGGACAGCTTTCCCTGTTCTCAGATTAAAACAATATCTATATAAATTTTACCAGTTGATTATATTTCAACCTTCCTCAATGAGACACTCTTTAAAAAAGGAACATAACTGTATATAAAGTCAATCTGTTATCTTCCTTGAGCATGTTTGTTCATTGTAAATTCATCTAGGTATCCTCTCATGTAGCCATCATTTCTCTTTCTGGTCCACAGATATCCCATGAGAGAGTCTTTAAATGATTTTTTGGAATGAAAATATATTACATATATGTCTCCTAACCTAGGAGTTAGTGAGGCTAGGTTGACATGATTTCTTGCTGTATCCTTACAGTCTCCTAATGGTCATGTATTGAAGACATTAGTTCTTCTATAAGATAGAAGAAAACATAATGCCCTAAATATTTTATAACTTTAAATTTTATGTACATTCATTCAAACTAAATTGTTATTTACAGATGGAATTATAGCAGCAAGTCAGTAAACTCAAAGGTCAAGTCCAATAAAATCCTTAGTAGTTTACTCAAAATGTGAATTGGACATGCAGACACATTGCTGAAGAGTTCACCGGAAGAAGGAGGCAAAAAACAAGTGATTTCAATCTAAGCCTAGTTGTTTACCAGAATTTATCTCTGTGATTTTTTAAGCTTAATCGTCGTTTTACTGTGCATCATCATCCATTCATTTAGTCAGCTATTTTTTAAACATCTAGTGAATACTTGCTTGTGTGAGCTTTAATGTAATGCCCTGGAAATATAAAGATGACTATACATGACTCCTCAACTCAAGGATCTTACTATTTAGCACAGTAAAGACACAGATAAATAGTCAGAAGTCATCCTTAAAGTGAAAATCTGGGGGGGAAAGAAGTATGTGAAAGCTTAGAGGATTACGTAAATAAGCTTGCCTGGAGGGTCAGATATGTTTCCTATAGGAGGCTAATTTTGAGTGTAACCTGAAAGGCCTCATGGGAGAGCACAGGAAAAGGAAAAATGAGTAGGCAGTCCCAGGGGAACAGATTAGCAGAGACATCTCATAGGACTGGGAGGTGCTTCTGTATTGCTGGAGCCCAGGGAACATTACAGAGAATAAGGGGAGATTAGGTGAGTTGGAGCCAGTCTGCAAATGGCCTCGCAGACCTCGCTAAGGAACTTTAAACAATTTTTGCTTGGCAAATGAGTAAGTGGCTCAGATGATTCCCGTGTTTGTAAAGGATGGATAGATTTCACACATGGAGGCCAGTCTGCAGGGTATGGCACTGGTTCAGGGGACGTGAGAAGGCTTGAAAAACAGGGACAGTGGAATTAGAAAGGTTGAGACAGATTTTAACGTCATTACTGAAGAATGACAGAACTTGTTAACTCTTTGCGTATGCATAGAAGGGGTGGGGAAGAGGGAGAGAAAAGATTCAGAGGTTTATCAAGGAACTGGATGGATGGTTTTGAATGGTTATGCTCTTAACCAAGGCCCAGGTGGGTGAGAGGAAGGAGAATGTCCTCTAGGACCTAGAGCTTGGGAGAAAGGTCAAGGCTAGAGGATTGGATCTAAAAGTCTTCACCGCAGAAGTGGTAGTTAGAATTACAAAGTGGAAAATTCCTACAGATACTATGGAGGCCAGATTAGAGTCCTGGAGGGAAAGCATGACATTTGAAAGGAAGCTTAATAAATAAGCAACAGAAGAGATTAAGGAAACATGTCCAGAAAGATAGTTGGAAAACTCAGAAGTTCTCTGAAAACTGAAGGATAAGTGAGTTGTCAAGAATTAGGGACCAGTGGCCAGGCCTGGTGGCTCATGCCTATAATCCCAGGACTCTGGGAGGCTGAGGTGGGTGGATCATCTGAGGCCAGGAGTTCGAGACCAGCCTGGCCAACATGGTGAAGCCCCGTCTCTAGTTAAAACACAAAAATTAGCCAGGCATGGTGGGGCACGCCTGTGCTCCCAGCTACTCGGGAGGCTGAGGCATGAGAATCATTTGAACCTACGAGGCAGAGGTTGTAGTGAGCTGAGATCATGCTACTGTACTCCAGTCTGGGTGACAGAGGGATACTCCATTGAAAAAAAAAAATTAAAAATTAGGGATTAGGGACTAGTTAACCATTTCAGAATTGTTAGCATGGTGAAGAGTAAAGACTAGAAATCAACAAGTAGATTTGCCAGTTAAAGGAGGACTGGTGGCTTTTTGTGACTAAACACAGAAAGAGGCAGATGTGTGTGATGATTTGTATGTGTGTACAATTTATTTGTTTTGTTGGTTTAAAATGAGTGCACAGCAGCGTTCATCCACACCCATCATTACTAATCTATAGCCATTCTAAAATTATGGGGGAGAGTTCTTCATTTCTGAGGGAGCTCACCCATGAGTCACAGTGTTCTGCATCTTATAGAATCTTTGACAGTCATCAAAGAGATTCAGCCACCAGGGAATTAATTTGATTGGTCAAATATGTTTTCTTATGAGTAAATGATCCTCTCAGCTCTTTTCACCCACATATACCCGACAAAAAAATGGTTTCAGGAAACACAGATACACAGAATATCTGTGCATTAATTTTATGTTCATGGGAGGAATACATTTGTGGTTTTTGGAACATAAGTATAGATACTTATCTAATTGTCAAGGAGTCCTAGATTTTAGACTATGAATAGTCTGTAAAATTCGGCTCCTGTTGTTGATAAGAGTGGCTGGTTTGCTTCATGTGTTACTGTGAAGGGAAAGGAATACGATGTGTGTAAGGCATCCGTGCTGGCCCCGGACCCCCAGGGAGCTGGGGGCAGACCCCTCCAGACCCCACAGCATGATGTCCTACTTCTGCACTGTCCATTACTGAGCCACATTCCTGTAGTCCCTCCAGGGCTGACACTTGCATGAAGCAGCTCAAAGATGTTTTTAAAGCTTGATTTTCTTTGTGTTAGGAACTACTTTGTGCTCATTCGAGTTGTGATTCCTGATCATTTGGGGTGCAAGCGCAGTGTTTTCTCTGAGAAAGTCAGAGATTCTCAGTGATGAAATTTATAAATAGGTGCCTGAGGAAGCCTTGTAAGTTTTTTTCCTTTGAGATAATGATAAGTGACTTGGGGTTGATTTTGTTTCCAGTATATCTCAGGGGTTTTGTGGTTTTGTATGTGTGTATTTTAAGTCACTGAGGTTACAAAGGAGAGAACAGAGAGCTCGTAATAAACTTCACCAAATCACCTTTAATTCCAAAAGACATCGAATAAACTTCCCCAGATCACCTTAATTCCACAAGACATCTAATACTCACTTCTGTCTTTACCTGGAGAGAAAGACTCACAGCTCCTAAGCTGGCTTTTCTAACCAGCCTTTGTCTAGAATCTCCACCACCTCTCTCCTCCCCACACACTCCCTACCTTATGCCTCCCTCTGTGTGTGTGTGTGTGTGTGTGTGTGTGTGTGTGTGTGTGTGTGTGTGTGTGTGTGTCTGTCTTTCTCTTTTTTCTCTCCCTCTACTTTTGGGTAAAAAAGCTTTAAATTTCTTAGCAGACCTGATGGTGTTATGTTTTAGTAAAGAATATTGTGAACTGGTAGTAACGATCATTATATCTGCTTTTTGTTTACTGTTAGCAGATCCATCTCTGCTCTATCAGAACCTCAGACCTGTGACATCCCAGCTCCACAATGCACTTAACCTCTCCCATGCTGGGAGATTCCATAGGCGAACAGGGCTACTTCCAGCAAGCCGAGCTGCAGCCAGCAGGAAATGAAACCGTCTGCCACAGATACTTATTTAGACCAAGCTATTAATGTTTAGTGGCAGAAAAGTGGCTCCCTTTCTCATTCGATTGAATGATGAAAGCATGTCTGTTTCCCTGATAAGACTGTGGCCAGCTTGGCTTTCGGTCTGAAAGGTGGATGAAGATATTCTGTCTGCAGAGCGGGCTGCAGGGATGTCTGGTTTCTTTTCTCTGTATCTATGCCAGAGTGTATCTCCCTTCTTCATCTCACAAACCATTTTTAAACTTAATCACACTGAACTTTTGTATATGTTTGCCTGACAATAAATGGGTCTGGGGTTACGTAGGGAGAGTGTAGAGAAAAATACATCTTTATTAGGAGAGAAATGAGAAACTGCTGTCGTTGTTTAAAATAACCCTTAATGTAAATGAGCCCAGTTATAGTGAGGCCAAAATGGGAGAAACTTTTTGTTGGTTTTGAAAAATACCAAAATAAAAATAATAGGAATTTAAAACAAGTTTTAACAAATTCTGTAATGAAAAGTATTTTTTATTCTCTCACATATTCCTCTCTGATATTATAAAACTTAAAAATAGTCTAATTTTCCTAGACTCAAGTTTTTCTTTTCTTAAGAACTTACTTTTATGCTTAATGCCCTAACCAAATGAAGCTGTTACCACTTAGAATGTTTGCTTGTAAGGAGTAAAAATTTATATAGATGTTTCAAAATTTATTTAGCTTCTCTTTAAGTTACATTTACAACTTTATTTTTGGAAAATAAATTTATTATAAAGATTTTTTTAAAGGTAAATTTGAACTTAAGTTTTAATAAGTAAAGATGTTTTATATTCATATGGTCATTTTTGCCCAAGACCTAGAAAACAGCTTCAACTGAGGAATAACCTTATAGTCATATTCCTCACCAAATGCTTCACACCTCCCAGGGGTAGTTCTCTGTAGCATCACAAACTCTGTCATTACCAATCAACAATTTCACACTTTTTTTACCTTGATAAGCTTGAATTTCAGGTTTTATATTCATTCCAGCATTACTCTATCTTTATGGGAACCTGTTGAATAAGCCAGTTGGAGGATGCAATAGCTTAGAATCTTATATTCTTTGAAATGTGGAGCCGCGATTCCCTGCCTATCTGTAAGTCAGCCTTTGGGGCTTCCCTAACCTTCTCTAGGTGCGACTGTGAACAATGAAGTATGTGGGAGCTGGGGGCTGGGGAGAAGCCTGCGACAACTGAAATTACTGCCTGTAAGTCCAGGAACTCCATTCGTTTTGTTAGAAACAAACTCGGAGTCCTACTGCTCTCATTAATTAGCTTAGTCATCTGGATTTCTCTAGAGAAGACAGAGATTGTGAAAAGGAAATAGAGTTTCTGCTTAAGGTAGGCATGCTGGCTCTATCAAGAAGTGATCACAGCCTATCATCCTAAGAAGAAACAGAAGACATAATAAGTACAAACAAAACCGGCAAAGTACAGTGTTGGGTCAGGGACTGGGCAGACTGCCTTACATATCTCAGGAGGCCTTAGTCCTTAGGAAGGGGGCCCTGTATTACAGCACATTACAACAGTGAAGTGTCCAATGATGAACATGGGCCATCAACTAAAAGTTAAATCGTTCCTTTTTTTTTTTTTTTGAGACAGAGTCTCACTCTATTGCCCAGGCTGGAGTGCAATGGCATGATCTCGGCTCACTGCAACCTCCGCCTCCCAGATTCAAGCAATTCTCCAGCCTCCGGGTAGCTGGGATTACAGGCACCCACCACCACGCCTGGCTAATTTTTGTATTTTTAGTAGAGATGGGGTTTCACCATGTTGGCCAGGCTGGTCTCAAACTCCTGACCTTGTGATCCACCCTCCTCAGCCTCCCAAAGTGCTGGGATTATAGGCGTGAGCCACCACACCAGGCCTTCCATTTCTTTAAGAGAGAGAAAAGTTTAATTTGTTTCAAGAAAGACTATTCAAAATTGGTTATACAAAGATAGTACCGTAAAGGGGGCAAGTTTCCATTATCTGGGAATTACACATTCATTGATTAATCTCACTGTTTCTGAGCATTGCTAGAAGGAAAGTTTGCTTCGAGATGAAATTTATTTTACTCACATTGGACTTACCTTTGAAATTTATTCAGCGTAGTTTTGTTTCTGAAGTTTCATAGACAATAAAAGATATTGTAAAATATTAAAATAAACATCAAGTTTTATAGCCATTATCTACCATTTAGTGTCCATCTCTTCCATCTAAAAGATAATGCTACATTTCCTGTTTTCTAGTCTCTGCTTTCTGTGTTGTTTGATTTTTTTTCCCCAAAGTCACTAAAAGTGATGAATGAAGTTTCTTTTCATTATCATATGGTTTGGTTTTGCTCATATTTTCCTTCTGTTATCTGGATTGCTAATTAGAAGTTGCAACTGTTAAAATGAGCCTATCACAGATGTCATCTTAAAATTTTTACTTCCCTTTTTAGTTCTCTAATAGGGTGAAATCTTGATTCACAAATGCCCTGGGTAGTCCCCCTTTGTGTGAATGCATCCACTAAAATATATATATATGTGTGTGTGTGTGTGTGTGTGTGTGTATTCACACACACACATATATACATATGCACACACACATATACATATGCACACACACATATACATATGCACACACACATATATACATATGCACACACACATATATACGTATATATATCTCTTCATGAATCATGCACAGAGCTGTGTCTCTGAACAGCATCCATAGACCCCCACCAGGATTAGAAGTTAAACTCAAGTGCAGACACAGTTTGGAAGCCTTTTGACCATCTTCAGCCCCGCTCTGGTTTCCTCTCTCAGGACACACTTCCCTCTTCATGGTGATTGCGTTCTCACTCTATCAATGAGGTATTGTCCCTCTTTTTACTTTCTCCTCCTTCCCAAACAGGACATATTGGTCATTTTAATTTATTGTTTGAAATGTTATCTCCACCATGCCTTTTCACTAAAAGCCTTTCAAGTCTGGTTGTGACATGACCATCTTTTTTCTACTTAGTTAAGAAATGTTAGGCATCACTGAATGAGGAGTGAGGCAGGAGAGAAAGTGGATGGAACACGTACAAACAGTTACTCAATAGACTCAGAGTGGCAGCTGATGAAATCTGCCACCGTAAACCAAATGGAGAGCCCAAGTAGGAAGATCGAATGTTGGCAGCTGGCTCAGGCTGTCTTCGTACCGACTTCTCCCTCATTATTTTTCTTATTTCTGCCAACTCTGGCAACATAGTCGACCTCCAGGGACACATTCTT
Source organism: Homo sapiens (assembly GCF_000001405.40). Lineage (NCBI taxonomy): Eukaryota > Metazoa > Chordata > Mammalia > Primates > Hominidae > Homo > Homo sapiens. The sequence goes on from NC_000001.11 coordinate 240,468,940, forward strand.
TTTTCCTGCCGAAAGTGTGGAAAAATGTCTTGTTGTCAGAGTTTTGTTGAAATAAAATTGGCTTTTGGAAGCAGCAACATTTGCTGGGAAGCTTAGGAGGAGTGAGACTCAGGAGCAAGTTGATGTGGTTTGGGTTTGCAATCTGGTACAAGAGTGGGAACTGAGGAAGTGTCGTTGTTTTGGGGGTCTGGCAGCACCGCTGGGGCTTCAGGGAGTGTTAATGCCTCAGTTCCAGGGCACCGTTTCTCAGGGTGGTCCTTACAGGCCACCTACACCAGATTCTGCCAGATGCTACTTCTGAAAGCATCCTAGAGTGACTAAATCAGAATACCTAAGAATAGGCCTAGAGAGCTGCATTTTAACAAATTCTCCATGAATCTCCTGCTCCGAAATTAGAAGAGGAACTATATTCAAGGTTCTGGGGCTCAGTTTTCCAGCTGCCCAGGTCATTTATGTGTGCATAACTAGAGGCGCTTAGAGTGAGGTGACTGACTCATCCTAGTCACACACATAAGAAACCGAGGCATAAACCTGAAAACCAGTTGGAACTCTTGCCTCCATACAGGAATCCTATGGCAGCAGAAAGGAGAACTGTTCATAGTTCTTGAAGCTCAGTTTGCTGTTTCTTGACTCTTACTCAACCTTTATATGTTATTCTTTCATGTTCAATCCATTTTCCTTTTCCAAGAGAAGTATAAACGATTAAGATGTGCCTGTTAAACAAGGCTCGGCAGTCGCTTACTCCAGAAAGATCTCTGTAAACCCAGCCTTCCCACCCAGGATCCTCCTCCAGGACACAGTTGTACCTTATACGAACCTGGGTGGTTGCTCTTAATGCAACATTGTCATTTACTTGCTCATGAGTATCTCTCTCCTACTAGACATTGAATTTCATTGTCCCTATAATGTTGAGCTGTGCCTAGTGCTGGACCTCGAGCTAATGCTTCAGAAATGACTGAAAAATGAATGGATGAGCTGAAAGATCTTGTGAGGCCTCCGATGCACATTCTCCTCAGTTTTTGTGGTCTCTGCCATAAGGAATGACTGGATGTTTTTGTGTAAAATTAAAAATGTTTGTATTAGACTCGGTTTCCTGTGATCCTTACAAAAATGTGTTTTGAGAAAAAAATAAATAGGATTGGGAGAAAATTAAGATGCTTTGAGGATCTAAATACTTGTAAAGTACATTTTATTGGAATGCCACAAAATGCTTTAAAAAGCTCCAAGTAAATTTAAGAGGAGATCCACTGGATTTTGACTAAGTGCTGAAAAAAAAAAAAAAAACAGTTTCCTTAATTCCCTATCCAAATACTTCAACTTAAATTTACTGGTAGCTGTTTCAGAGGGAGATGGGGATGCTGCAATCCTTAGTTTGTTATAAAGAAAATGTTTTTATCTTCAAATGTTTAGAGGAAGGATTAAAGGCAATTTATGGCTTGGGTGAAAAGTAATAAAAGTGGTAACAATGAAGTATCTTCTAAGTTGTCATCATTTTCTGGAATTGCTAACAATATCAACCAGGCAGGCATTTTATATCTGAAAGGAGTTACTTTCATTTGTCATGCTTTAATATAAACTATAACATCAATCTTATAGCTGCAATACTGAGTTGTTTGTTTGATTCTATTGTTTAAAAAGAGGAATTGATTTAGTTGTAAAGGAGATGAATTCTGTCATTAGATTTTTTGCCACAGGGATCAAGAAATATATTTATAATTCACTTCTTTCAGGAAATTAGGCTATAAGGTCTATATGAAATGCATTTTATTAAGACCAAGCCACAGCCTCTTTGGTTTCTCCAGAAATAATTCATTTTTAATTCCCAAGGAAAAGTCACAGTAATAAAAAATAAATTTTACCTGTTAGATTATTTTCCTTGTCATAGCTCCCCTTTTTATTAAAAAAAAAAAATCCAATTTACAGATTTCTTACTATTTGTTTAATTAAAACAATAATAAATTTTATAGCCTTTTACAATGCATAAAGAACTTTTTAAATAAAATTTTACTCCGTCTTTGCAACTCTGTGCAGTGATAATGAAGATAATTTAATATATAATGGAAACTTTTCACTCTGTGAGGGAATAGGGAGGTTCAGGGGTACAAGAACATTACCGGTGTCAAATAGCAGAGCCAGAACTTCATACAGGACTTTGCTCCAAATAGCATCTTCTTTTAACTATACCTCTGGTCAGTTCAATGTTGTTTTCCTTGTCATATATGCTTAACAAGAAATACTAGAAACATTAAAATGTTATTACTGCTCACTCTCTTTTTTGTTATCAAATGATTGGTTCCCATGCTAGATGAAGCTCAGTTTTTAGAAACTGCTCAAGTATTTATTGCAAGTGATTTGTATGCATGAGTGTGTGTGGTATAGGAAGTTAATCTGAAATAATTTTAAGTAAGCATGGCATGTAAATTTTCTTTTTTTTTTTTTTGAGACGGAGTCTCGCTCTGTCACCCAGGCTGGAGTGCAGTGGCACAAGTGCAGTGGTGCCATCTCGGCTCACTGCAAGCTCAGCCTCTTGGGTTCACACCATTCTCCTGCCTCAACCTCCGAGTACCTGAGACTATAGGCACCCGCCACCACACCCAGCTAATTTTTTTTGTATTTTTAGTAGAGATGGGATTTCACCGTGTTAGCCAGGATGGTCTCGATCTCCTGACCTTGTGATCCACCTGCCTCAGTCTCCCAAACTGCTGGGATTACAGGCATGAGCCACCGCGCCCAGCCGGCATGTAAATTTTTATGTGACACTTTTTTTTTGGTGGGGGGTGGCAGGGGAGAGGGTCTCACTGTTGCCCAGGCTAGAGTGCAGAGGTGCTGATCACAGCTCACTGCAGGGCACGCACCACCATGCCCGGCTAAGTTTTTGTATTTTTTGTGGAGTCAGGGTCTCACTCTGTTGCCCATGCTGGTCTGGAACTCCTGGGCTCAAGCAATTCACCCGCCTTGGCATCCCAAAGTGCTGGGATTGCAGGCATGAGCTACTCCGCCCTGGCTGTGATACTCTTTAATTATTCTAATGCTTCTAACTTACGTCATGGTGCCAATCCTATTTATATAATAGAATCAATCTCATACTCTCAGCTGACAATGAGGGGTATTTCATTTTTTACTTGTATATAAGATTCCTTTTATATAGGATGAAATGCATACACACTCTGCATAGAAATTCTTATGTGTTTGTATATTACTCCATTCAATCATACTATGATTCCAAGTTAAGAACTCCTAGATAAATTAGCGTCTGTAGCTGTAACAGTTGAGGCTTTCAATTCAAATGTCAGATAACATTCTTCTGTGTATTGTATTATTTTCTGCAGTAATTCAAATCTTTATTGAGTTGAGGTTTGCTCACTTACTATAAGGTAGAATGAGGTGATCTAAGTAGGTTTTGTTTAAATACATGTGTCTTCTCCCCATCAGAGTAAAAGAAGCCGAAGAGGTGTGTAGACAGAAGAAAGGAAAATCACTTTATAAAATAAAACCAAGACATGACTCTGGAATTGTAAGTATTACTGATTTTTAACTTGTTATTTTCTTTGGCTTTTAAATCCTATTTTCATAATATATACAAACTCATAATATTTTAATTATTTTTCTACTAAGTGTGAATAAATAAGGAGCTTCTGACTTCAAGAATCTCCTTTTTCTTATGCCTTTAATCAGGCCCAGAAGGCTAAGAGTCTTGATATTGATTATTCAAAACTTAAGAATTGGGCTGGGGGTGGTGGCTCATGCCTGTAATTCCAGCACTTTGGGAGGCCGAGGTGGGCGGGTCATGAGGTCAGGCGATCGAGGCCATCCTGCCCAACGTGATGAAACCCTGTCTCTACTAAAATACAAACAATTAGCCGGGCATGGTGGTGTGTGCCTGTAGTCCCAGCTACTTGGGAAGCTGAGGCAGAGGAATCGCTTGAACCTGGGAGGTGGAGATTGCAGTGAGCCAAGATTGCAACACTGCACTCCAGCCTGGCAACAGAGTGAGACTTTGTCTCAAAAAAAAAAAAAAAAAAATTAAGATAAATCTACTGAATCTACTGAGGGTGTGCATTTATGTGGATATGTGCATGTTGGCAGGGGCAGGGTGGGGAGACCATCTTTCACTTTCTTTGTTACACACAGATCACGGCAGAGGCTGTATTTGAGCCACGAGTGATCATTCTAATTGGATTAGATCCACTGGGATGTAAAGTTGGTGGGAAGCGCCAAGAGCAGTGTGACGCTTTGCCCAGGGTGCCCAGACCCCGTTTATATCCACAGATGGCTCGGCAGAGTTGGCTGCCGGAGAGTGGTCAGTCCAGAGACGGAGTTTAACAAGCTCATTTAAGTTTCCTGCTTGCCCACTCCCCGCTTTAAAACAAAATGCCAGGTTATCCACCCTGGGAGGGAAGGGCTTGGTTAAAATGACAAGGCTTTTCCTTGTGATACTGAGGATGTTTTGTTGACTGTTTTGAGGGATTATCACTTGGTACCACAGTGTAAGTAAATGTTTTAAATGAAAAGTTGAGTTAGGCCTTAGGATAGGACCATTCTAAATTGAATTAGTCTAATGTAGTCTAAAGGGAAAAGACATTAAAATAACCCAAATTGGGATATGATTAAATAGCCCTGTTTTTTTTTAAAAAGTTAGGAATTATATCTTCATTTAGAAGCAGTGGTGCCTTCAGTTTCTCTGTATCAAAATGATCTTATCTAATGATAACTACTACATGATAGTTCAGCTTATCTTCTGCTCCTGATGATTCAGTCTTATAACTGTATTGAATGTGGAGGAATAGTTACTTATTAGTGAACCTCAATCTTGCTATTATGAGTACAGAAGATAATTAGAGTACATTTACCATGAAGTGAAGCAGCCACTTCAGTTTTCATATTTATGTATTTGCATGTAGGATTGAGGATGAGAATGGAGAGTTTGACACCCTCTCATATTGGTTAGAAGTTAAATTTTTAAAACTTTTTTTTTTCTCAAAAGTATTTGGCGATTTGTCTTGATAAAAGTGCTCAAAGATAACACAGATCCCACTTATACTTTTTTCCTTTATGGACTGGTAGACCTTTAACCTTGTCCCACAGAATTTGATCCAAATGAAAAGGTCTTTTTTAGGCTACTCTAAATTCTTTCCATTTTTAAAAGTTCTTTCTAACTAAAACTTTTATCTGGTGTATTTGTTTTCAGAAAGCAAAGATAAGCATGAAAACTTGAACAATGAAAAGCAGAATGAAAATGAGTCATTGCAACGACTTTCACAAAATTCAGCTGACCTGAGAGTGGGAGGGAAACTACCGTCATTCTGCTCATGTTTCTTCTTGACCTCTTGCATAATCTTTTTGTTTTCTAGACAGTTCACTAATTGTTGAATTTTACTGTATATTCATATAAAAATGCAAACGTACTAGACCAGTGGAGAATTTGACACCTTTTCTTTTTGTAAAAGTTTATGGTATTATACCGATAGACCAAAACAGCATGTGTAAGAGGCAGTATCTGCACTAATTCTCAACATGCTAAACATTAACTACAATTCACTGTTGTGAGAATATTCCTCGTCACAGCAAAAACACTTTCCTTTCTACTGACAACCAGTCCTCCACATCACAGCATTTAGACATATGGGTAAAATGTTATTTCTAGTGAATTGTTTGTATCAGTTTCATGTCTAAGTATAAATTTTCTATTTTAAAATTTAAGAACCGTTTATAATCAGTGCTTTCCCAACTCTTGGGTTGCTCTCCATAACTATGTATTTGTGAAAGAAAATGGTCATTTTTTTTACTGAAGTCATATAATGACTTGGGTCAGCTCGTAATGCATTGTGATGGTTTTGTATGAGCTGGGTGTTTTTTTCCATTACTTTTAATGATCTTCGTTGCAAGTTATAGTTGTGGATAAAGGGGAGAATTTATTGCTCTTGCAAACCAATTATGGAAAGCAACTTAAGAAAACCAATGTTCTAAATCATAATTGTTTGTATTTATGTAAAGTATGGTCTCTTACTTTTTAGTTTGTAGTTTAAGTGCAAAGAAACAGTAGTGGTTTTTTTTCTATTGTTTTGTAGTCTTCCTGTCCCCTTCAGTCCCTCCAGTGTGTATATTACCATTCTCCAATGAAATAATAGGGCATTTAACAAAGATCGCTATGTGCAATACTGTATTTAGTGTTTCTATTTCAATTTTTCTAGGATGTTAATTTATATGAAAATAAAATGAATAATAAAAGAATAAAGATACTTGCAAAAGACAGCTGTCATATTTAACATGGGGTGGGGAATAAGAGAAGGAGGGAAAATAAGTTAGGCATGCTGCATATTCACCTGCACACACACACAAAAATGTGTGTACAGTTTCAGGGACTTAAGAACTTAAAGCCCATCAATGATACCTAAGTAAGAAATCCTGGTAAAATATTTATTCCTTTGTGGCTTGAACTAGGATCTCTTTCCTGATCTCCCAAAGATCTTCTGGTCATTTTCAATCAGATATCTCACCATGCCTTAAAATTCATTATGTGTAAATTCAAACTCAGCTTGTCATCTTTTCCCTCCATACCTGCTCATTCTTGTGTATTATCTATCTCAGTGAACAAAGCCACTATTCATTCAGAAACCCAAGTTCATCTTTTGACATATTACTTATCACAAATGCATACATTTGTCTCTGTCTTTTCTATTAAAGTCTTAGTTCAGAACCCTCATTAATTCCTTTATTAACCTACTCATTGTTCTCATCTTCCGAGATTTGCCCTGCAACATATTTTTAAAATTTGAATCCACCTTTTTCTAAAATACAAATCTGCTCATTTGAATTTCCTACTTAAAGCATTTTAATGGCCACATACACTAAGATATGTGGCCTCAAAATGTTATCTAAATGTTTAATATGGCAGACGGAGTCCCAAGCAGTGCCTACTTACATTTTGAGTTTAGTCTCTTGACTTAACCTACCTTGAATTCCAGCCTCCAGCCAAACTAAAATACCTCTAGGCTAATTTCCTCTCAACTATATGTCTTTCCGCATGTTTGCCCTCAGCTTGAAACATTGTCAACATTTCATGGATTCACTAATAATTGTATCTGAGTTTAGAAGGCATTTGTTCCAGGATATCTCTTGACACTGGTCTCCCTGGCTCCTAGCGTGTGACAGAGACTCACTACATATTTGCTGATGAAGGCAAGATAGGAGTGTTAACTATGCCAGATGCTTCAGGATACAAGTAGGTTGAAAATGGAATGAAGTCCCTTGTTTGCTGAAAAAGGGTAGTGGTAAAAACGAAGGTAGTGTTAAGGAAGTAGAAAAGGGAGGTTCAATACGCTCCATACTTGGAAGACTTCTGTCATTCAAGAAACATTGTGCTGTGAGTTAAGAATTTGGATTTCCCCTCTGTTTCCAAGTAGAAAAATAACATGAAATATATTTTCAAAAGTATAGATGCAGGGTGGGAAGTGGGGGTTGCAAGAGAGTGCATGAACAAGAGGAATCTCTATGGAGTAAAGACAACTGATCATGCCCCATTTGTAGAGGGAAATCAACCCAGGATCACTACCAGAGATGTGAGACTTACCTACCAGTGAGGATCCACTGAAAACAGCTGCAGAGGATGCCACAGGATATGGCAAACATTAGCCAGCCAGACACATGGTAGCAGGAGAAGGCAGACTACACTGGGCCAGCTAACTTCTGGGCCATGTCTGTACCTGCAGTGTCTCTAATGTCACTGACACACAGCCCAGTGCCACCCAGAAAGCCGGGTTCTGGACTAGGAATGGGTGGACGCAATGGAAAATGACCAGATACAGAGAGAGAGAAGAGGAAAAAGAACGTGAGCACTCTCTCAAGACGTCTCTGCAAAACACACATCCAAAGCACGGAAGGAAAATTCTCAAGGAGAAAGAATAAAACAACTCAATAAACAGCAAAATGAATTCACCTTTAAAATGCAAACAACACGGCAAAACTTAGATAATAGTTATATCTAGAATCTGTAGGCTAGGGGTGGTGGCTCACACCTGTAATCCCAGCACTTTGGGAAGCCGAAGTAGGTGGATTATGAGGTCACGAGTTCAAGACCAGCCTGGCCAAGATGGTGAAACCCCATCTCTACTTAAAAAAAAATAACCGGGCGTGGTGGCAGGCACCTGTAATCCCAGCTACTCGGGAGGCTGAGGCAGGAGAATTGCTTGAACCCAGGAGGTGGAGGTTGCAGTGATCCGAGATCATGCCACTGCACTCTAGCCTGGGCAATAGAGCAAGACCCTGTCTCAAAAAGAAAAAAAAAATCTGCAAAGGAACTTCAAATATATAATCATTGAGACACAAAAAACAGAAGCTGAATGAGTTCTAGATGGGCACACATTAAGTGACAAGTGATTTGGAAGGTAGCACCAAGCAATTTAGTGAGACCACACAGCAGAGAGAGAAAATATTTGTAAACATGTAAGAGAAGTTAAGAGAGATACAGGATAAACTGAGAGACTCCAATTAAAGAGGCAGTCCATATGGAGAAATTAAAGGAAATAGTAGAAAAGCCAAATAATGGCTTGGAGGAAAAAAATGGCTGAGAATTTTCCAGAATTGAAAAAAGATATATCCTCTGCTTAACACGTATCAAGTGCCAGACAGATATATACCAATACATTTGCACCAAGAAAGGTCAAAGTGAATCTCCAGCTAGGTAAAGAGAAAATTTGAAAACCTCTTGAAAGAAAGGACACGTTAGCCGGGCATGGTGGCTCACGCCTGTAATCCCAGCACTTTGAGAGGCCAAGACGGGTGGATTACCTGAGGTCACGAGTTCAAGACCAGCATGGCCAACATGATGAAACCTTGTCTCTACTAAAAACACAAAAATTAGCCAGGTGTGGTAGTGGGCGCCTGTAATCCCAGCTACTCGGGAGGCTGAAACTGGAGAATCTCTTGAACCGGGGAGGCAGAGGTTGCAGTGAGCCGAGATCGTGCCATTGCACTACAGCCTGGGTGACTGAGCGAGACTCCGTCTCAAATCAAACAAACAAACAAAACGACAGAAAGAAAGGACACGTCACTTAAAATGAAACGGCAGTTATTCTGAAAGTAGATTTGTCCTCAGCCACAATGTATGTTAGAAAATAGTAACGTCTTGGCTGGGCCCGGTGGCTCACGCCTGTAATCCCAGCACTTTGGGAGGCTGAGGTGGGCGGATCACGAGGTCAGGAGATCAAGACCATCCTGGCTAACACGGTGAAACCCCATCTCTACTAAAAATACAAAAAATCAGCCGGGTATGGTGGCGGGTGCCTGTGGTCCCAGCTACTCGGGAGGCTGAGGCGGGAGAATGGCGTGAACCCGGGAGGCGGAGCTTGCAGTGAGCCGAGATCGCGCCACTGCACTCCAGCCTGGGCGACAGAGCGAGGCTCCGTCTCAAAAAAAAAAAGGTAAAACGTCTTTAAATTGTGGAAGGAGAGCAGTGAATTGAGATCATTAGACCCACTTGAAACATCATTCACATGGAAGGGGAGAGAGAGATTTTCAGACATATGAAAAGCACAGGAGGTAACTACGCCCGAAGCCTCACTGAAGCGCCTGCTGCGGGGCACATTTCAGCAAGGAAAAAGATGCAAACGAAGTGAGGGCCTGGGATTTAAGAAATCACAGAAGCCATAGAAACTGGTGAAACAAAATCAACCCTAGAATGTAAACAGTAACAATTACAACTAATTTTTCATGTTTACAATGGGCACTAAAATTTTAGATAGTAACAACTTGGGTGGGAGAAGTTCAGGGAATAGTTCAAACACGCGATGGGGCATGTGCTGCTCTCTTCATTCATTCAATTCTGCAAATGTTTAGAGTGGTCAGTGTGTGCCAGAAACTGGAGTAGGCTTTGGGAGTCACGGACAAAGAATGTCCCATCCTCGTGTAACTTATGTTCTAATGAGGGAGACAAGCGATGTAAAATAATATCAGGCAATATAATATTTAAGAAGGGTGACAAATAACTTATTCTTCAAACCAGAATACCATTGAGAGTAAAAGTGAGGCTATTACACCTGGAAAATCTCCATAAATTGATACCACTCCCAGACAAACTCTGGTCACCCTACATATAAGCACTACGTGAGCTTTAAGTGTTATGAAGAGACATAGAAAGCCCTATCTCCTTAAAAAAAAAAAAAAAAAAAAAAAAAAAGAATGGTCAAGTGTGGCGTCTCACAGCTGTAATCCCAGCAGTTTGGGAGGCCAAGGCAGGAGGATCCCTTGAACCCAGGAGACAAGCCTGGTCAGCTTAGGGAAACCCCATCTCTAAAAAGAAAAAAAAATTTTAATAGCCAGGTGTGGTAGCACTTGCCTGTGGTCCTAGCTACTTAGGAGGCTGAGGTGGGAGGATGAGTTGGGCCCAGGAAGTGGAGGCTGCAGTGAGCTATGATCACACCACTGTACTCCAGCCTGGGTGATAGGGTGACACCTTGTCCAAAAACAAAACAGGGAGAAGATGGTGATAATGAATATGTTTGGACTTTGTTACAAAAATATGAAAGTAAATATAAATTAAACATTTAGCACTGTTCATTAAAAGAACAAAAAGAATTAAAGAAGGAATAAGAAAAAAAAACATATCAACTAAAGGTCAATCCAATCCAACTAAAAGCCAGAAAGGTAAGAAAAAACAAAGCCAAAAAAAAGTATGGTAAAAAGAGAAGTGACTGTGGATGGTAGGTGGGAGAACTCAAGGGTAAGTGGATGGGAACAAATTGTTACAAGCTCTGAAAATCCTGTGCCATTGTTCCTTGAATTACACCAGCTGTCATTAGCATTTCCACTTCCCAGCTAATCGGTGAACTCAGACTTTTGGAGGTTGTATTTGTTTCCTGTGAAACACAGTTAAACAATCAAAAGCAATACGAAGAGGTTTGATGTTCTAAAGTGGTGTGACAAAGGGGACATTCACCCCCTTCTCTCCCAAAAATCATTCCAAAGCAACAAGGAACAAATATGCATCATTTTTGATTTATCTTCAATTAAAATTAGAGGTGTCGAAAACCCAAACCACAAAATATACAGAAGATCTCCCAAATGTGTGGGTATGGAAAAAGGCAGAGAGGATGCTCATGAAGACACGTCTCAGAAAAAGCAAGAAAGTCTCCTTCTCCAAGGTGAAACCATACCCTTAGGAGGTGTTATCTCAAAATCCTTCTCCAAGGTGAAACCATACCCTTGGGAGGTGTTATCTCAAACTGTGTTTGCAATAATGGACCTCGGTACACCAATTGGTATTAGACACTCCCCTGAATGTCTCTTACTATTTTTTACATCAGGAAGGATGCCTACATGAGAAATTAGGCTGACAAACCATATTTGCAAGAAGGTGTCTATCAATAAGACAAAGGTGAAGGAAGAGACCCTGAATTACAGTAGTAAATACTAGAACGAGACATGCTCTCCATCGTACTTCATAATGAAATATTGTCTAGCTTGAAACACAACCCTACTGTCTCCCCACACAAACTATTCAATATTTGCAAATAGCTGGCAAATATCATTAACACTGCTATCAAACCAACAAAGATTATTTAAGTGAGAATACTATAGGCCAGCTTATTGAGGAATAGCAGTGAAAAATACTAAACACGTTAGCAAACATCAGAAGGGCCATGGAGAAATGGGGGTTATTCCTGGAAGGCTAGGATGATCATATGAGTATTGCCTTGCATATTTCAATATATGTGTATTTAAAAATCATATGCATGTGTGGAGAAAAAAACACATGATTTCCTCAAAATGCTAACAAATTAACTAATTTTTGAAGAAAAAACTCTGAATAACATAAATATGTCCTTAAAGAATCAAATACCTCAAGGTAAAGTCAGCCTGGGGCATAAGGGGACGCTTTAGGACTATTTCTGGCCAGACATGGTGGCTCACGCCTGTAATCCCAGCACTTTGGGAGTCCGAGGCGGGCGGATCATGAGGTCAAGAGATCGAGACCAGCCTGGCCAACATGTTGAAACCCCGTCTCTACTAAAAATGCAAAAATTAGCTGGGCACGGTGGCTTGTGCCTCTGTAATCCCAGCTACTTGGGAGGCTGAGGCAGGAGAATGGCTTGAACCTGGGAAGCAGAGGTTGCAGTGGGCCAAGATTGCGCCACTGCACCCCAGCCTGGGTGACAAGAGCAAGACTCTGCCTCAAAAAATAAAATAAAATAAAAAAATTTTAAAAAAGAACTATTTCCTTTAAAACTCAGGGACAAGACCAGGTTGTCTACTTTCACCTGCTATTTATCACTGTTCTGGCAATGAACAAAAAAAGGTATACAATGGAAAAGGATGAGGTAAAGTTAATTTTTATTTGCTGTTTATTAGATTATATGCTCAAAAAACAGACAATAACAAAACAACTATTAAAGATAATAATAGAATGACATAAATCGACTAGGCCAAAAATTAATATACAGAAATCAAGAACTTTCATGTAAACAAACAATACCCAGTCAGAAGATAAAATTGTGAAATATCCCCACTTAAAATAGCAAACAAAAAATCCAAATAACATGGAATAACTGTAATAAGAAATGTGTAAGGTCTATATGAAAATAGTTGAGAGACTCACAAAAATGGAAGGGCAATGACAATGCCAGTATTCCCTAAACAAATTATAAATTTAATATAAATTTAGTGCACGCCAAAACATTTAATGCAATCCAAATAAAAATACCTGCAGAATGTTTCATCGGGGGAAGAGGGAGGGTGAGAACTAAAGAAGTTGACTTCAAAGTTTGAACATAAAAATAAGCAAGAACAGTCAAGGTTTTGGGGAGGAACGAGTAGTGGAAAGAGAAACTTGCCCAATTACATTTTACACGTTAGAAAGTGACAGTAAGTGTTTGTAATAGCAAAACATTGGAAATGTCTAAATAATGAAGTAACGTTTAGGCTTTAAAACAGAAAAAACAGCTGGGTGCGGTGGCTCACACCTGTAATCCCAGCACTTCAGGAGGCCGAGGTGGGTGGATCACCTGAAGTCAGGAGTTTGAGACCAGCCTGACCAACATGGTGAAACCCCGTCTCTACTAAAAATACAAAAATTAGCCGGGCGTGGTGGCAGGTGCCTGTAATCCCAGCTACTCGGCAGGCTGAGGCAGGAGAATCGCTTGAACCCGGGAGGCGGAAGTTGCAGTAAGCCGAGATGGCGCCACTGCACTCCAGCCTGGGGGACAGAGTGAGACTCCATCCCAAAAAAAAAAAAAAAAAAAAAGAGAGAGAAAAAACAGGCCCTTTATATACTGATGTAGATGTACAACATTTTATTAAGGGGAAAAAAATCCATAAAAAGTTTCTATCTTTGTCCTTGGGGGGGGGGAAATCAGGAAGAAAAACAGTGTTTATAGTACAGTCTCATTTATGAAGAAATGATGGCAGCATGATTACTGAATTTCAAGAAATTAACATACATAGAATATCTCTGGAGTCATTGACAAGAAACTGATTATTAGTTGCTTCTGGAGAAGAAAAACAGGTAGAATTTGGGATAGAGGAGAGAGAATTTTAATTGTTATTTCTTTTGGTTCTTTTAGATTTTGATGAGATGAAAAAATCAGTCAATAGAGAAATATTTTATAATTAATTTTGTGGAATTTATCTCATTTCAAATATCAAATGACACCCAGCTGGTCAATTCTGTTAAATCAAGGAGACAATACAGGTTGGGTGGTTTACGTGTTTCCACATCATGATAGCAGCTCTATCAGATGTCCTCTCCAAGGACGATCAGGACAATTCTCACTCTAGACCACTACAGAGAGCTATGTGTAAGGCTGGCAAGCCAATCTTGTTTCTCTGTTGCCAGAATGAAAAAAAGGTCGGGGTTGTCTGTAGGCCACTGGGCACATTTTCTCCTATGGTGGTCTGATTGTGACAGTAACATTGGGCTTTTTCTTTCACAATAGGCCCATTTTGGTTCTACTTGTGCAAAACTCCCTTTCACCTCAATTTTGGAGTTGCTTCATACTGCCCTCCTGGACTATGTAAATGTTCCTAATCTATAGCTCCACTCCTATCGGATGCTCTAAAGTTTTCCAGAGATTAACATCACTTTCTAATCCAGGCAATGGATCATAGGAGCAATTTACACTTTACTTGTTAATCAACAATGAGAATTATCTGTTGGTTTCAGGCTTTTTGGAGTCAGAAACTGGCAATATGCTTAAACCATGTCCCAACAAGCCCTACGATAATGAAGTTCAATTAATCTAAATTGGGCCCCGCAATACTTGTTATTTCCTATCCACATATTTTACCTTATAAATGCTGTCTGTAATTAGTCAGCATACCCTTAAATTAGGGCGCTCATATTTTTCAAGCAAAGAGTGAAAATAAAAAAAAAAAAAAAAAAAGAGTATTTAGCTTACAGAATTTCAAGATAGATCTAGAAATAGACCCCATCCACAGAGTTCCTCCCAGCACAGGGAAAACCAGACTTGCGGTGCCGATGGTAACACAAATTGTATATTCTTTGGCTCCTCAAATAAAACAAAAATTAAAATATAGATATACCGTGGTGAAAACAAAAACAGAAAGCAAGAAACCCCAGATGTAAATAGTTGGATAACTCTCAAACCTTTGTGCTAGAGTTTCAAACATCAAATTTAAGTTTTCCAGCCTTGATTAGACACCCAATTCATAATTTGGTATCCAATGTCTCCTTCCCACAAATTAGCAGTTGCATCGTGTTAAGTAACTATGGTCTTGCTAGATAAAGAATGTCCGGGCAGCAGAATATGACAGATGAAGGTGGTGGTTTGGAAGACTTCATGTGTGCCTAGTTTATTAAACACACCCTCTTTGCCTTCAGGAATGTGAGTTGGGAATGGGGCTCAGGCCATCAGTGCGTCATCAGGAAGATGTGGCATTGCTCAAAGAGCAGAGCAAGGAGGGTTGCCACCAGGAAGGTGAGGAGGAGCTGGAATTGTCTATGGCAACAGATATGCATGGAAGGAGGGAGGATTAGAAGCCTGTGTAGAGCAAGAGGAAGGCAGTGAAAGGAAGGATCAAAAGGTTCCACTTTTACATCAGGCAATGGGCAGACATTGCCTGAGGAACGTTACTCATTTTCTCTGATGTTTCTTCATCTCCGTACTCTTAAAAATTTGTTTTTTTTTTTCTCTGAGATGGAGTTTCACTCTTGTTGCCCAGGCTGGAGTGCAATGGCGCGATCTCAGCTCACTGCAACCTTGGCCTCCAGGATTCAAGCGATTCTCCTGCCTCAGCCTCCTGAGTAGCTGGGATTACAGGCATACACCACCACGCCCGACTAATTTTGTATTTTTAGTAGAGATGGTTTCTCCATGTTGGTCAGGCTTGTCTCAAACTCCTGACCTCAGGTGATCCACCCACCTCAGCCTCCCAAAGTGCTGGGATTACAGGCATGAGCCAGTGCACCTGCCAAAAAGATTTTTTAATTGACAAATAATAATTGTACATATATATGGGGCACATAGTGATGTAACATATATAATGTATAGTGATCAGATCAGGGTAATTAGCATATCTATCATCTCAAATTTTTATTATTTCTTTGTATTGGGAACATTCAATATCCTCCTTGTAGCTATTTATATGATATATGATATAACATATTATTGTTAACTTCCTATTCTTCTAAAGAAGGATTTTTTAAGGTTACTTGGCCCTGTGTTCCTCCACTGTCCCTATTAGAAGTGTCATATATGGGCTGGGTGTAGTCCCAGCATTTTGGGAGGCTGAGGTGGGTGAATTGCTTGAGCCCAGGAGTTCAAGGACCAGCCTGGGCAACATAGCAAAACCCCAACTCTACAAAAAGAGAAAAATTAGCCAGGCATGGTGGCATGCACCTGTAGTCCCACCTACTCAGGAGGCTAAGGTGGGAGAATCGCATGAGCCTGGGAGGTTGAGGCTGCAGTGAGCCAAGATTGCACCACTGTGGAGGACAGAGCGAGACTCCATGTCAAAAAAAAAAAAAAAAAGAGAGAGAGAGAGAGAGTTGGAGGAGACTTGACTGATTGAGACCAGGGCCATGATCCCGCCACTGCACTCCAGCCTGTGTGACAGAATGAAACCCTGTCTCACAAACAAAACAAATTAAAAAAAAAGTCTCATGTATGTTCGTGGATTTAGTTACAATCTTTTTGCTTCAATATCAGTTTCTCCAGATCTAGCTGCTCATATAAATTTGTCCTATTTCTTCAAACAGGGAAAAAGTTTCATTTACATAAATGTTTCACTATCACCACAGACCCAACATCTATAAAAACCTGCATCAGTATTTTCTGTAACCGGATCCTCATTTATCTTGGGCTGCCCATCTGTTGCACTAACACCCCCCTCTTTCATCACCGCATTCTGTGACTACTTCACATATTTGTCTCTTCTTTCAGATCCAATTCTATTACCTGGTCTGGCCCTAACCTTCAGTTTATGTTGTTGCAAGAGCCCCTGAGCTGGCCTATCTGGACCCAGATTCTGTTCCCTCCAATCACCTAGCATGTCGTGACTAGAATAACCCTTGATCCAATCTGTCCGCGATTTTCTATTTCCTATGATGTCAGGTGGAACTTGCTCTGCCTCTCTTTCAAGGCCCTCCATGTTCTTTCTTCTCTGTCTCCTCCTTCCCCCCATGCTCCAGCCCCCACACCTACCCCTAACACACAGGGAAAGGTGACTATTATGTTGCTCTCCCCAGATACCGTCTTCAGGGCTGATGTACCGATCCCATCTCACCATCTCACCTGGCTGCTGACCCTCGCTGAAACTAACAGCTGGGTCCTCACTGAGATTTGCCCTTGGAGGCAATACACGCCCCGTCCTAGGGATGGCTTGTGCTCAGTGACTGAGGGATGTGGGCTACAAAAGCCTGTCTCTCTTTCTTCAATTTGGCACCACTCTAAAATGCGCCCCCCAGCTCCAGAGCTCCCCACAGGATCAGACAAGTCCTCATTTATGACCTGATGGCTTTTCCCACTGCACAGTCCTCATGTGCTTACAGGTCTCTGTTCTGCAAGCATTCCCCCAATAAACCTTCTGCTCACAACTCTGTCTCAGAGTTTGGAAAACCAATCTAAGATAGACAATTCCAGTTCCTGGAGAAGAATACTCGAACCCAGGATTTGGAGAAAGCTCAGTCGTTGGGCAGCTGCTGAGTATCGGTCCTGGTGTGCTGTAGCCCTGTGTTGTTAAAACTCTTCCCAGAGGTAAATTAGGATGGGACACTGGTTGGGAGACTCACTGGCTGGTGCAATATTGATACAGGAACTCAAATGAAATTATTTAGACAGATAATCAGATAATGAGGGTAAGAGAGTCCTCAATAAAGTTTCCCTTTTGATAAAAAGCAGCCCCCAAATCATTTTTTTTAATAACAAAGAGCAGCCTGAAATATCAAGCTGCAGATATAGAAAAGCAGCCAGAAGCTTGCACAGGGGAATGCCAGCAGCTGTGCCAATAGGATAAGGCACCTGGGGGCAAAGCCTGTTCCTCATGGAGGCTCCATCTTGACTTTTCTTTGTCACTTGTGTGCAATCAGGGAACAGGCAGCATGGTGCTGGGCAGGTAGATAACTCATCTGCATAATAAAAGATTAGGGTGGGACGGCCAGCTTCACTATGTAAATGACACATCTAACCCAACCAATCCATTGCACCCTATATAAATCAGACACCGCCTCCTCAAACTCATCTATAAAACCAACTGCATCTCCCCACGAGTGGGGAGATCCACTCGGAACCCCTTCCCTCTGCACAAGGGAGCTTTTCTCTTTTGCCTGTTAAACTGCTGCTCTTAAACTCACTCGTGTGTGTCCGCATCCTTGATTTCCTTGGCATGAGTCAATGAACCTCACATGTGACCCCAGAGGAATGATGCTGCTTTGATATCTTTGGTGCTTAAAAGTTGTGAGGGGCAGAGTGATTATAAGGACTTTGGGATCGGGTACCTGCTTACAAGTGGTATTGATTTGTTGAAGAGATAATAAAAGACTCAAAGTGATGAATCACCAATTCAGACAGAATGTAAAAGCCATAGATAGGATCTTCTAGGTAGCATTCAAGTAAGCCCTAGTCTCCTGCAGTCAGAAGAAGGCTCAATTGTAAAGAGGAGCTCTGTTTCAGAGAATTTTGTATTCTCAGCTTCAGCAAGTCTCTTGTCCCAAGATTAGAACCCTAATAGGGAAGTAGAACCCCTAAAATTGGGAGAGGAGTACCTGGGTAGATGAGTTGGGACTCTCAAAGTCCCCTGAGCCTGCTAGGTCTGTTGTTAGACTCTCATCTCTGCTGGGGATCTGCTGGATTGGCTAAGGGAGGAAACGGACTGTACGGTGAAATCACAGCAGGAGCCGGGAGAAGAAGGATGGGAATGTGTCCCAAGGCTGCTGTATCAAGGAAGAAGAGCAGGACATTAAGTTGGATAATGCTTATCACCATGGGAGCAGTCTCCCATGATTCAGGATTTGAACCTGTGGAAAATCCCCCAGGAATGGTGATAATAAGCTACTAGGACAATTCTTGGAGTATCTCAAACACTTTGATTCACACTCCATGAAATAAAAATATAAGAACTTCCATGGTGCATGATGGATAAAACCACCCTAAGGCTCAGAGAAGTGGGGGTGCTAAAGTGGGTTTGCTCTGTAAAGCTATGAAAACCAAACCACTCACCAACTGTGTTCCCAGGAAGGTCTCTAGTTACCAAAGCTATGATGATTGTGTTGGTGAGAGGGGTAGCAGCTCTGGTGCTCAGTAGTGCCATCATCTGTAGGCCAGGGATAACTGTAGGAAGAGATGCTGCTGTAAATCTAGATTCCCTGAGGGACACGAGAATAGCAAGATCTCAGAATAAAATGAGCCAGGTTGTAATGCTTAGCTTTCAGAAGTGGGCACAGTTATTGCAAAGAGGGGTAGGACTATAGTGGCGTCCGTGGACTCCCAACTTGAAGATGGTTACTAGAACATGATGTTCCTGAAGGCAAGATGGATGGGGGGTTGTGGGGGGAGGGCAACAAGAAGTATTGCTTAATTTACACAGTCAAAATAAATCAATAAAGGAAAATCAGAGACAGAGGGCAGCATCTCAATGAAAATCACAATCCCTTGTTCGGTTTCCAGATCAGACCTGAAACCCATTGGCTGAAGAAGTGGCTGATTCCTTATGACCCTGCAATACCAGGGCAAATCTATTCATTTGTTATTTCCCTACTTCTTAACCGGGGAGCTCAGGACCACTTTATTCAGGCAAATGTGGTTTGGGAGAGAAGAAGAAGACTCAGCACTTTTGAGAATTATTGAACACTGGGTCTGAACTGACACCAACACCTGGAGACCCAGTGAACCACCATGGCTCCCTCCTGATGTGGGAGCATACAGCGTCTACTAGAGTCCTCCAAGCTCTGGCTCTCAGTGGGCCCACGGGTCCACAGACTAACCTGGTGATCCTTTCCCTCATTTCCAAATATGTAATTGGAAGGGACACTCTTGGTAGTTTGAAGAACCCTCACATTGATTCTTGAGTTCTTAGGTAAGAGCTATTGTAGTGGGGAAAGACAAATGGAAGCCCCTGAAGCTGCTCCCCACCCTAGAAGAAAGAGTAAATCAAAAATGACGCTGAATTCCAGAAGGAATCTGGGAAATTATGAACCTCTCATAGACTTTAATAGTGTAGTAGCCCTGGCTATATTTTGATTTACTTCACCATGCTGGCTCCTACGAAAATCAAATGGAACATGGCAGGATGTTCCAGCAGTAGCCCCAGTTACACCTACTGCACTCAGGGTGAACTCTTTGCTAAAGCGGATTAAAACAACTTCCAGAACTTTACCTGGCAAGTGTGTTTTCCATCATCCCGGTAGGTGAGAGGACCAGAGGTAGTCTGCGTTCCAGTGGGATGAACAGTTTATATTTATGGCCTTGTCCCCAGACAATGTAAGTTATTATGCTCTTTGTCAAAATGTAAACTGAAGGGACATTCTATAAATCACTACACAGATTCATCATATGATTGACATCATATAATAGGACCAGATGAGAGGTATGGGGCAAGTTATGCTGGAGGACTTGGTAAGCGCACACTCCATACACCTTAGAAAGTGGGCAATAAACCTTACAAAAATTCAGGAAACTTCTGATTCTGGGTAAGATGCATTAGACATATTTTTTTCCTATTCCCTCCACTAAAATCTCCGGATGTTATGTGTGTGTAAGTGTATACACTATATACACTATACACCATATATACACCATTCTCTCCTTTTTCTCGCACAATATATACACTATACACTATATATATATTGTGTGTATATACACACATGCACACACACATATAACAAACATATGAGGCTGTAGAAGGTGGAGAAAAGAAGGCAGAGAAGGTAGGAAACTCGGGATTCAAGGAATGATATGGCAGTGATTTCCCTGGTTTTGTTTGTTTTGCCTTATATTCTAGACTAAATACTAGCAAAGTCAGTAACATCAATGGATACAAGCAACAACAACAAAAACTGCACGGTTTCCCGTGTTTTGTTTTTGGTAAGTTGAATGGGCATCTGCTGTGTGTGAGAAGCAGGGTGAAGGGGTGGCAAGGTTGGGGATTAAGGAGAATTCAGAAAATAACATGATGAATAAGACATCTTAGGCTGCTCTGCCTATGAAGTAGGCATTCTTTATTCCTTTACTTTCTTAATAAACTTGCTTTCACTTAAAAAATTTTCATTGCATTATTGATGACTTGGTCTTATTGTTATCATTCATGCAGACATTAATAATCAGTGGTGATAGGTCAATCATTAAATAAGCCTTCTGGGAATATATACATTCTAAGTTGTTCACACAATAGCAAAAGTCATTTTCATTGACTTTATAACTTAAAAATCATCTGGCCAATTTCAAAAACAAGTGAGTTAGAATACGTTAGCAGTGAAATATTCTGTCCCATTTAATAAACTAAGATGAATTATTTCCTAGGAAGTTGAGTTTAATTCCTTTGAAGCCTACACAGTGGATCAACCATGTGCAGTTTGATTGTGGATTTTATTTTTTATTGATTACGGAGTTTTCTTAAATGGCAGATTAAGTCAATTAATAGAAAAATGGAGATGCTATAAACTAAGAAATATTTAAATTAAGAAATGTTGGAACTCATGAGGAGTAAATGTGAAAATGAACAAAACTCAGAACAAGTGTGTCCCTGGTGCTAACGGAGAGACTAACAGTGGACTTCCATTGCTGCAGTTTCTCAAGGTTTCCTTGTTTAGTGTTTCTCCTTCAGCCAGCACAGTGAGAATACTCTGTCTTCAGCTGGCAGGGGATGTGGAAGAGGCTTGGAAGCTTCCAAAGACCAGGATTGAGGGCCACCTCCATCACTTCTGCTCCTTGGATGCCTGATTCTATTTCTCTTAGAAGATTCCAGACCCCAAAGGAGATCATGTGACATAAGCTAGAGGTTGAACTCACCATGGTTGAACAAAAACTCTCTGAACGCATAGTGCTGCTTCACAGCTCACTGCAACAAGTCAAAAATTCCACTTTTATGGCACGTCACACCGGGATCACATATAATCCTAGATTATCTTTATTTGTTCTATAATTTAATAGTATACCTATAAAATAATTACATTATACTTATAGCTTTTCTTCATTTATAAACAAAACAAAAAAATTAAATACAATTTGAGCCATTATAAGGTAAACTTTGTACATACGATAACCCCAGAAGGAGCTTCACACTGCAGCATATCATATTGCTTTCATTGCTACACCCACAATTGGGTTCGAAGAGAGTGTGCTCGTGTTTGCATTCTGTAAGTTCTTAGCTTAATCCCTCCCCTATCTGTGTGGGTTCCATGTTAATAAAATGATAGGGGTTGGCTCTGCAGCTGGTCAGAGACTCTCCTCCACTCACCTCCCAATCCACCCCTAGCCTCCATTACAATCACGTAAATTTCCTTCCTTCACAGCTTTTCTGCTGCATGTTCTGCCACTGAGTCTGACTTGAGGTTTTCCACCAAATGCAAAAATCACTCCTGACCTTGAACACCCTTCTCTCCATTTTCGCTCTATCCTCAGGTTCCAGCCCTCAAGGATTTCTTTTGATTTCTGCCTCCTGAGTTCAGGCTGTATATACCCATTTATGAAACCAAGACCCCCTCTGCCACAGCACATTCTTGCTCAGGTCTCATGGTGTTGCAGAAATGACAGAAATGCACCTTGCAGTGCAGTGGCCTGAGATAGATTCACCAACCCACCCCACCCCAATCCTTGCTCTTCAAGTGAATGTCTCTAGATCCACCATCACTACCTAGTATCAGGAAGCTAAGTCCCCACAGCGGCTTGCAGAGGGTCTCTCTCACATACTAGGGAAGTGGCCCCTCACAGGAGCACTTACCAGGGAATCATCAGTGAAAGGTTTTCAAAGTTTACTGATTCCCACCAATGGCAGCTCATTCACATTTGTCAGATTCCATAAGCATTACTCACAGGGAAGCCTTCCTGGGGCAACTGAGCAAAGGAGCCCAGAAGAAGTATATAATTTCGCTGGAAAATAAGTTACGTCTACTTCCGTATATCAAGAGACCACAGCATGGAAACGTCAACAATTCATTATAAACACAAAAGGTGACCTAATGTTTGTTCGTCCCTTTTGAAGTCTATTCTTTGAAAAGGAAGCATGTTTTGTGCAGAACAGTTCAACTAGATTACTATTCTATATCTTTTATTCCTTACTCCCTTCTATACCACAAAGCGACTCAACTCCTTATATTTTTCAATATCCCTCTCTTTTTCTCTTTCTTTTAACAGGAAATATTTTTTGCCTAGTGTCATGGCAGTGAAAGTAGTATACGGTTTCACCCCACATATGCATATTCCACATTATAGGGGCTTTCTAGTTTCCGGTCATCAATTTCCCAACGAATGCCCTTCCCTATACCTATCCATCCCAAGCCAATTTCTACATTGTGCTGCAATGCTTAGTAACGTCAGTGAAATAGTATTCAAAGTAAAAATCACGACTCCTCCCATCTCCCTGCCCAATCTAAAAATAGGTGCATGACAGTGAATTGCTGACCAGGCATTTTTTTTTCTGAGTAAGACACCTTCTGGGCCTGCTGTCATCCTTACTCCGAATGGTGCTGCAAGCCAGAGTCAAAACATGTGAAATAATACATGAATAGGTCTATAATACTTTTTAACAGCTCTTTACAATATACGGTCACTTATAAAACCAGCGTTAATATAGAGACCTTTGTGTGTGATAATATTCTAATTGCAGCAATAATAGCATGCACACCAGAGTTCATCTTTAGTCCACAAATAGGGGGCGGGGACAGTGAGGAAGAAGAGGCGGTGGGGACTTGAGGATGGGGGATTGTGTAGCCTGCTCTGCTCGAGGTTTCCCGGGAAGCCCACTTCGGGATCCAAGTGGCTCAAGTTGTCTTCTTGGTATCAGGTTTATTAGGAGACGCCCCGTCCACCGACATATTTATGGAGGTTGCACATATCCTCATCACAGCAGCGACCGAGGGCAGCCTGCCAGTCACAAGAATGAGCGCTCCCAGCCAGAGGTCCAGGGACCAGCAGGAGAGGTCTGAGGGGCCGCTCAGAAAAGTGACGCATCCTTCACTTCGCGCGGGAAAGGGGCGAGCTGGAGTGCAGGGCGGGGCCAGGGAAATCCTTGCTTTTCCACATGGTGGAAACATCAATGCCGGATTTACAGTGCATCACCTCGAAAGGTCCTCTCTGACTGCTGGGTGGCGGTGGTGGTTTTCCAGCATTTTCCTTCGGGCCTGATCCACCGCCTGGTTTAGGGGGCACAGGTGGGACCCGGGGTCGGTCAGGAACACATCAGCAAAAGCTCCACTTGCGATCCACGTCTGTGACAAGGACACCGTCAGCCCTAAGAGAAGTGCTTGCTGCTGAGGGGGAACACCAGGCAGCGTGACAGTGGGCTCGGAGGGCAGGGACAGAGGCGGCGGCGGCGCCACCCAGCGGCCGGGCGCGCGCGGGGCTGAGCTGCGTCCGGCCCGGCGCTCACTGCTTGTCCGAGTCGCTCAGGTTCACGGACATGCACCGGCACTGCTTCACCTTCTGGATTTTCTTGAGTCGGAAGGGTGGGTCCAGGCCGGGGCACTCGAGCTCCACGAGGACGGAGGTGACGCGCTGGGGCTTGCAGAAGGCGCAGGACTGGAAGGACTCCTCCTCCTTCTTCACGTGCCGCGGGATGTAGAAGGAGTTGCACTGGCCGTAGCAGAAGCGGTTGAGGATGGTGCGGCTCCGGCAGCCCTCCTCGCTCACCGTCTGCCGCAGCGGCTGCGTCTTGCACCAGTCACTCTTGAGGTACTTGCGCTCGGTGACCACCAGGGCCTCCTGGCTGGAGGCCAGCACCTCCTTGATCTGGTGCTGCCATCTCTCCGAGTTGTTGCTGCTGCCGTCCTTGTAAGGCGAGGGGATGGCGCCCGCCGGCCGGTTCTTCCGGGCTTCCGCCACCTTCACCAGCACCGCCACCAGGAACAAGGACAGGGAAAGCTTCCAGAACATCCTGCAAACGAGAAAAGAGAGGGGCTGGCTGTGAAGGGCCGTAGAGTACGGGATCAATCTTACTTATTTTTTTTTTTATTTTAGACATGGTCTGGCTCTGTTGCCCAGGCTGGAGTGCAGGGGCACGTAGCTTGCTGCAGGCTCAAACTCTGGGATCCTCCTGCCTCAGCCTCCTGTGTGGCTAGAACTACAGGCTTGCACCACCACGCCCATCTACTTTCTTTTTATTTTTTTTTGTAGAGACGGGATCTCACCATGTTACCCAGGCTGGTCTGGAACTCCTGGCCTCAAGCGCTCCTCTGCCTCAGCCTCCCAAAGCCCTGGGATCATAGGCGTGAGCCACCACGTCTTTTTAATGCTGTACGGTTTTACTAGCAGTGACAGTCAGGTGGGGCATGGCAGACTGATGGCTGCCCAGGGGCAGCTGGAGGTGAAAAGGGATTAAATGGTACAAGTGTAGGCAGTTAGGACTGCACCCCAAATAATGCCTGGAAGGCAAGGAGGCGGACAAAATGGCCAGTAACTTATGCAGTAAATGCAGTTAGAAAACACGCGTGTTGAACAGTTACAGAAGTACAAAGCAAATGCTGGGAAGAGAGACCTCAAGCCAGTTTGCAGAAGTACCAATAATAGTTAATACTCAATATTTACAGTGTTTTACTTTGTGCCAAGTGCTGTCCTAAGAGTACATCTCATTTACATGTATATCTCATTTCATCCTAAAAATAGCCTTCAGTTGGAGGTGGTATTATGACCCCTTTACAGTGAAGGGGTCACTTTACAGTGAAGGAAACTGAGGCTGGGGCCCACAGAAGTTGAGTCATTTACCTGAGGTCACACAACCACTAAACAATGGCCCAGGATTTGAAGCCAGCCAGACATCTACCTCCAGAGCCATCAATGTTAACCAGCAGACATGGATGTGATTACAAAAATTAGTAAGTACAAAGTAGAGAGAAGATGGGTGTCGTTCACAAGTTTCTTTAAAAATGAGTATTAAAGATAGAACTGGACATAGGCTAGAAAAATTACTAGTTGCATCTGTATTATTACATATGAATAATAACATTAGCATTTAACATCTGCACACAGATGTTCAAATCATTCAAATGAGTCATAAATTAGAGTCTCCTAGTAGAAACTAATTCCCAGGTGTGAATTAAGAAATTTCCCTAGCTGACTTTGGGAGGCCGAGGCAGGCGGATCACGAGGTCAGGAGATCGAGACCATCCTGGCTAACACGGTGAAACCCTGTCTCTACTAAAAATACAAAAAATTAGCCAGGCGTGGTGGCGGGCGCCTGTAGTCCCAGCTACTTGGGAGGCTGAGGCAGGAGAATGGCGTGAACCCGGGAGGCGGAGCTTGCAATGAGCCGAGATGGCGTCACTGTATTCCAGCCTGTGCGACAGAGTGAGACTCCGGCTCAGAAAAAAAAATAAGAATAAAAAAATAGAAATTTCCCTAGCTGTATTAAAACTGTCTGATGACAATGCAAAGTGTCATCTCATTTGTATTAGGAGACTATGACACAAATTCAATAGGAATGAGAATTGGACAGAAATTATTCTCATGCTATCTAAAACGTGGCTTGCAGGGCACAAGCCAAAGTCTGACTAAAGTGAAAGATAGACTTCAAAGTGTAATTCACATTTTAAATTTTTGTATTTTTAGTAGTAGCCCCAAGGAACACTAATACCCAGCAATATTGAGGACTCTGATCTCTTTTTACAACGGTAGCTACCAATGTAGCTGTTACCAACATCATCATCATCTTTATGTTTACTCATTTTCTGTTTTACCTTCTCTAGGACTCCATGAATTCCCATTCTTTTAACATGTATACCCTAAAATGGACATGTAACAATTATATATACATCATATGTATCATATAGTAATATAGTATATATCAGTTGTTATATTTATCAATCATGAGTATATAGAAATAACTAAAATTGAATATTAAATATGTTAAATGTTTGAATTTTTTACGTCTTAAATATATCCATGCTAATGGTAATAGCAAATATTTATTGATTCTCAAAGTACATCAAACACTTACAGTTTACTTTCATGTATAGACGTATTTAATGATCTGAGTTCTATGAAGTAGGTACTATTATTTTCTTCATTTTATGGATGAGGACACTAAGGCATTGACAGGCTGCCAAGATTCTATAGCCAGTATGTGAAATATTTGAATCCAGGCATCCCGGCTCCAGAATCTGAGCTCTGGGTGAGTATAGCTGCCTCTTTGTTAAAAATATTTACGTTAAAATATCTATGCTAAAATTATTTCTCTGAGTCTTAGTCTAAGTCTAAACCACAAGAGGCCTTTGCATGCCACCTTGGAGATGATTCCTTTATTCATCAAGTATCCATGGAACGTTTATTCTGGAGTAAGCACTGTCATAGGCTTTGTGAATTCCAGTATCTTAGAGAATAAGGCAAAGGTTTTTTTTGTTTTTGTTTTTGTTTTTTTTTTGATGGAGTCTCACTCTGTCACCAGGCTGGAATGCAGTGGCACGATCTCAGCTCACTGCAACCTCTGCCTCCCAAGTTCAAGCAATTCTCCTGCCTCAGCCTCCCAAGTAGCTGAGATTACAGGCGCGCGCCACCAGGCCCAGCTAATTTTTGTATTTTTAGTAGAGACAGGGTTTCACTATGTTGGCCAGGCTGGTCTCGAACTCCTGACCTCAAGTGATCTGCCGGTCTCGGCCTCCCAAAGTGCTGGGATTACAGGCCACTGGGCCAGGCTAAGGCAAAGTTCTCACAGGGTCGGACGAGCCTTTACAAGATCTCCCCACTCCCCTGCATCTCACCAGCCTCCTCCGTCCTCTCTCCCACTTGCTCACTCTGCTCCAGCCATACTGGAAATAGCCTATCTGTTTCTAGAATGAGCTTGGCATTCTTGTGCTCTAGAGCCTTACCTTGTCTTTCTCCCAAATGTCTACTTGGCCTTCTTCCTCACAGTCTTCAACTCTTTGCTCGGTTACCACCTCTGTAGCGAAGGCTTAGAGTTACCTTCACCACCATCGTGGACGTCACCGTCTCCTCCTTCCCTGCTTTATCTTCCTCCAGGGAACTTATCATCTAACGAGATAGTATTTCATAATCACACTTGTCTTTCTTGTCTGACTTTTCTCCTGGGAATGTAAGGTCCAAGAGAGAAGACCTGCCTGTTTTGTTCATTGCCATGTCTCCTGCTCTCAGAACAGTGCCTGGTGTACAGTAGGCACTCAATAAATGTGTTAAGGCCAGGCTCAGCGGCTCATGCCTGTAATCCCAGCACTTTGGGAGGCCAAGGTGGGCGGATCCCCTGATGTCAGGAGTTTGAGACCAGCCTGGCCAAAATGGTGAAACCCCGTCTCTACTAAAAATACAAAAAAATTAGCTGGGCGTGGTGGCACACACCTGTAGTCCCAGTAGTCCCAGCTACTCAGGAGGGTGAGGCAGGAGAATCGCTTGAACCCGGGAGGCAGAGGTTGCAGTGAGCCAAGATCATGCCATTGCACTCCAGCCTGGGCAACAAGAGTGAAACTCCATCTCAAAAAAAAAAAATGTTGAACGAAATATGGATACTATACAGGTCATTGCCTTCAACAAGTCTGTAATTAAGAAGCCAGAGAAAGGCATGCACGTGACTGCGTGACAAAGGTATTTAGGAAGAATGGCCTGGGTCCTTGTGGTAGTGATCCTGTGACCAACGACATCTGAATCACCTGTGGTACTTTACAGTGCACATTCCTGGGCTCAAGAAGCATTCTTTTTAAAAAAAGTTTTAATTAAATTTCTTTTTAATTTTTAATGTTTGTGGGTACATAATAGGTATATATATTTATGGAGTACATGAGATCTTTTGATACAGGCCCCAAAGCATTCTGGGTCAGTAGTGTTGGGGTGGGGTTTCAGATCTGTATTTCTAAAAATTGCCTCACCCAATTCTGGTGGGATCCAATGGCCACAAAGTATAGTGAGGGCGAAAGGGAAAAGCATCGGTTCTACCTGGAGAAGGAGCAGGAGGAGCTTAGGAAGTCACAAGTAAGTGGGTCCCTTGAAATCTGAACAGGATTCCTCAGGGCGATGATATGGGCAAAAGCAAAGGGTTTGGTACTGTCGATGACGCTGGGCAAAGGGAGTAAAAAAAAAAAATTGAAAGCAGAAAGGAGAAAAAAAAAGTTTTTTTTTTTTTGCAAAAACATTTTGTCCAGCACAATTATTAAAATTTTAACGCCTCATTTTTAAAGGGTTTTTCTCATGCCTCCTTAGTTGCACACATGAAATGTCATATGAAAATGGCCACGCTTCCAGCTGGCTCAGGCCAAGTGTCAAGTATTGGACTCGCTCAGCTTACATAGCTTATTATATTTGTGGAATGATTTGTGATCTCAATAGCCTCTTAAAAAGAAAGTATTTTGGTTCCATTTTAATAATTTCCGAAATTATTAACATTCTGAGTAAACATAACCAAGAGTTTGCAAGTCCCAGCCAGGAAAGATTGACAGAGTCAGTCTGGTCCTCAATTCCTAGTTCCAGTAACAGCTTCACATGCATGGCTGATAGACTCAAAAATGCACGCTTTCCTTCAACAGGTCCTAGATCTTATCAGAGAGAACAGAGCTAAGACAGAGCTGACAGAGCTAAATCAGATCAATTTGAGGCAAAACCTCTTAGGGCCAATAGTATTAGATGTGGTGCTGGGCATTCTTTGAACTCATTAACATGTTTTCAAAACATCTGGCAATCATCCTTAGAAGTTAGGTCTCACGGGAAGCTAAGCAAAAATGCAAACCTTCAACTTTCAGGAAGGGGGAAAAGTGGTTGAGGAAATCTCGATGACTGGGGCGAAGTCAGTCTCTTCTCTTTTTCCTTTCCTACATCTCATTTCTTTTCTCCTTCACACATAGCAATAGTAAGATGGCCAAGGATCTGGCATCTCACTGTCAGACAGGTAAGTAGGCAAGAGGTGTTCGGCCATGGTGACCCACAGTGACTGTGAGGCTGTATCCTCCTACTTCAGAGCATTCAGGCAGTTGAGCCAGCAACTGCTAACGGCACCTACACTGCTGGCCCTTGGCTGTGCAGAGTTCACCAGGGGAGAGAACGTCCGTTCTCTTGCTTGCCTCTGTCCGTTCGCTCATCATCCCTGCACAAGCATGTCAGCGGCCCCGCCAGGAGCTGAATTTAGCACTTTATAGAAAGTCCCACTCTGTCCTGAACCACTTTGCTAATCAGAAAAATGGTTGGCACACAATTAACCTTTCAGGAATGTTGCCACCCCTGCCGGTAACGACAGCACGAGGATACTTCATTTTATTCTCACATCTTGTATTTGGCTTGTATCAGAAGAAACTCATAAATAAATCCTGTTGGTTTTATTAACCATCTTTCTGGCCTGACCATGTTCTCAATTTACAAGGGGTGCCAGGACTGTAAATGCTGATGGTCTAAGCAGACTGGGTTGGCCAAAGTTGGTTGTGCAAAGAGAGAGGTAGTGGAAGTGCTTTCCTTTTAAGTGAACGCCCTCAGGCCTGGCCTCTGTAGATACCAGAATAAGGACTGCACAGGCCAAAGCAAGCTAGTATTTAGGCAGCTAAGGAATCCATCACAGGCCCCTTCTATCAGCCGTTCCTAAAAGTGGCAAGACCTGAACAGGGGTTCTACAACAGGAGCTTGAACAATAAAACTTCCTGATTTCTAGGAAAGAATACAGTAGTGCTGAGTCATCCTTCCTGACAGGCAAATGCAAGTGACCAATGGCAAAGGGTACAGCTAAGCTGATGAACTCACTCCAAGAGTGGCCTTCTTGAGTTTTAGAAGTCAAATCAAGTTAGCCCTGGGCTGTGCAGGAATGGTGAATGGCGTGGGGCTGAAACTTTTTCTACAACCTGAGGATTTTATGGCATTCTTGGAAAGTTGAAGGGAAGTCCCCAGGGCTGAATAGCTGAATACTGATAGGCACATCTGGGATAAACTTGCTCCCATTACCCAAGTGAAAACCATGGCAGAACCAAACAAAACTCCCAACAAGATTACACTTCAGAGGTCATTTTTATGAGGTTTAGTACTGCCACAGCCTCAGCTACTAAAGGCACTTCATCGATGACTTGGATTCTTAGGCTGGGAGGGTGGTGGTCTGGCTCTTCAGTTAAACCTTTAGAGACAGAGGTCGATGTTTCTTGGCCCTGGGATCAGGGATCATCCTCGCAGCCAAAGATTGCTTGCTTGCTGAAACCACTTACCCCCAGCTTCTATAAACTAAGGCAAACTATGGCCCACAGGCCAAACCCAACCTGAGATCTGTTTTGTAAATAAAGTTATGTTGGAACACAGCCACAGCCACTCATTTAGTCTATGGCTGCTGCTTTGGTGCTATAAGGGCAGAGTGAGTGGTGGAGACCTGAATATAATGCCCATGGTCTAAAATATTTACTTTCTGGGCTTTTACAGAAACACTTTGCTAAGTCCTGCTCCAAACATTTTCTATCCAATTCAATCTTTGCCTTCTCTTTAGTGTTGAACTCTTTTGCCAGAAAAGTAGCTTTCAATTTTAAAATTTCTAACTATGAAACATTTCAAACAGAGAGCAAAACAGAAAATATAACAATAGGTACTCACCAGAAAGATGAAAACAATACTGACATTTCCCATTTTTATTTTGCAATCTTTCAGTTTTGAAAATGTTAATATAAGTAAAGCTAAAATGCTCTCCTATCTCCTCATCCCTCACTGAGATGACCAGCATCCCAAAGTTGGTATTCGTCGTTCCTGTTGATGCTTTTGCTGCTCATGTTCTGTGTATCAGAGTATGTTTGTGTGTGTGGATAATCTTTTTTTTTTTTTCCAGACAGAGTCTTGCTCTGTTGCCCAGGCTGGAGTGCAGTGGCGCGATCTTGGCTCACTGCAAGCTCCGCCTCCCAGGTTCACGCCATTCTCCTGCCTCAGCCTCCCGAGTAACTGGGACTACAGGCACCCACCACCACACCTGGCTAATTTTTTTTTTTGTATTTTTAATAGAGACAAGGTTTCACCGTGTTGGCCAGGCTGGTCTCGAACTTCTAGCCTCAAGTGATCCATTCGCCTTGGCCTCCCAAAGTGCTGGGATTACAAGCGTGAGCTGCCGTGCCCAGCCGATAATCTTTACATAAATTATATCACACTCTTTTGCAACTTTTTCCCCAAGAGATATGTGTTTGGGATTTTATGCACATGGATATTTGTAGAAGGAGCCTGTTTATCCCCACCACTGAATATTAAAGCACAGTTTATTCATTCAGCTTATGGAGGAACAGTTTTTTTGCTTCCAGTTTTTCACTATTGCCAATAGTGCTGAACTGAACATTTTGGCATGTGTTTATTTATGCCCATCTGTTAGAGTTTTTCTAGAGGAGGCACCGGGCGGTGGAAATGCTGGGTCACAGGATATGTACAACTTGAGCTTGACTAAGTTGTGCCGAGTTGCTTTCCAAATGCCAGTACCAGTATCCTTTCCCCTGGGTAATATGTGAGTTCCTGCTGGTGCACATATTTGCTAATTCTTGGTGTTACCAGATTCATCGCCTTTTGCCTATCTGAAACATTTGAGATGGCATCTTATGATGATTTTAATTTGCATCTCTCTGATTGTACAGCAAGCTCAAATGCCATGGCTGTGTGACTGAAAATAAATGATTACAACTTACCCGAAGTGAGAGAAATTAAAATATGAGGAAAGGAAAAATAAGAATTTCCAACTATAAATCTTCTGAACTGTCATGGAAATAATAGGAAGTGACTTGCAACTTCAAAGCAGAAAGATCAGGGCATCCCACATGACTCAGAAGTTTGAAATCCAAATGGATTCATTTACTTTTCCAAGTGACATTGCCTGAGTGGAACACTGACTATCATTTTGTTCCAGGAGAAGCTTAATTTCATCTGGAAAAATTATATTATGTTTTCTTAAAAAGGTTTTCAACAGAGAAGAAATGATACTATCATTACTTACTTTGACTTCTGGACAGCAAATGCATCATTAGGGAATTTGTAATCAACGTTCTAAATCTTTGAAGAAATTGTTGGGATAAATTCAGGATAGGAAATGGAATGCTGAAGCAAGATGGCAGCAAAGCATTAAATTAAATAAGGAGATGAATGAGGAAGCGCTTGGAAAGCTGTGCGTTTATACACAAGTGGGCTGCTTCTCTCTAGGGTACATCCATGTGCGGATGGGAGGGAGAACATGGTTTCTGGGCCCTGAGCTGCCCATGTTGTGACCCCGTGTGACTCACTCCCAGGCTTCTCTGGGTTCTCCCCTGTAAAATGGTGTTAATGACACTTGCCACCCTCTGGACCTTGTTGCTGTCAGAAGAATGTGACACTGAAATCACATCAAAACCCAAGAACCCTCCGAGCAAAAAGGACCATGAGTTTTATTTGAAAGGAAGGAAGAAATCAGAAGCTATCCATTAGAATTTTACAGCCAGTGACATTGTTCTCTGCAGCCATTAGGCAGTACCTAAATATTTTTTTTTTCAGATAAAGATTTTAGACTGCTGCCCGAAACACCAATCATGCTCTCGTGATTCCACAGCCCAAAGACCCCCTCTTCGACCTTCCTAGGACAGCATTCTGTGTCCAGTGAGAGCTAAAATAGCAGACGTCCACTTCCCTCGGAGCAGAGTATAGCTTTTCTGTCTCTGTATACATAAAAATTCAAGAGGCCTGTCTAAAATGCTTTGAACAAAATCAAAAATATCCTGTCCATGCAACCCACCAACTTTTCCTGTTCACTCTTACTTCAAGCTACTTCATTATACTTGCTGTATGTTAGTTTGGAGGAATGGTGACAGAGCACATAGCAAAGCCTGATGAAACTATCACTGTAACCCCTTTTTCCTCTGAAACTCTTGAGAAAATATTTTTCAATTATTTTGCTTCACTCTTCCAGTATCTTTTCGTGATTTTTCTTTCTGTGCTCTCCTCTTAAAGGTTGGTGTTCCCCAAGAATTTTTTCCATAACCCTGTCTTCTCATTCCTCACATTTCTACTAAGAATTTCATTCATGCCTACGACTTCAACTAGCTCTCTGCTCATGACTCATAGACCCTCTACTCAACTGCCTATCAAACATTCCCCAAATGTCCTGTAGGCACCTCAAATTCTATATGTTCCAAATCTTTTCATATCTTCCCACTCATCATTCCTCTGATAGATGCTATCCCAATGAACAGAACAGCACCGATCCTTTCACCTCAACCAGAAAGTTGAATTTGAACAGACTCTGTTCACTTACTTCCTAAGAGTCAAGATCTCCATTCTTCCTTACTAACAGAACCATAATTTGTTCAGGTATTGAATTTCAAGTTCTTCATAGACCTTTCTACACACCGTGGAGTTGAAAGGTGGTTGGTCCAAGCCAATTGGTTATTCCACTGTCCTTGCAAGCGACTGATTTAAGCATGGGCAATAAGGTAACTGTGAGGCAAGGTGCAGCCTCCTTGGAAAAGTTTTTATTCCCTGATGAAAAGAGACATGCCAGGAGAAACTACCATTCAGGTCTTTATTGTGGTTAGGCAAGGATGTGATGACTGAGGCTTTAGCAGCTTCCATGAGGGGCAAGCACAGGATGCAAATCAAATCTTTGCAGTATAGAGCACAAAATGGAAAGCAACTGGATTCTTGATTATGTTATTAAGCCACTGTACTCAGCAGCCCTGGAACTGCTTACCTCTGGACTTCGTGTTCGTGAGTTAAATTCTTTAGTATTTAAATCACTTTTGCACAGCTACTGGAGAGTATCCCAGTTTATCTTCCCGTATATTAAGTCCATCAACAAGACCTCATCTTCTTTCATTCCTCACTTCTTAATCCCACTGTTACCACTTTGGTTTAGATCCTCATCATCTGAACATTGTGTTAGTCTCTTCGCTGGCCTCCCTTCTCCCTTCAGATTCACACTCTCAGATCCATCTTCTCAGCTCCTATCAGAGTGGACATTTTAACCTGCAAATCTGTCTGTGTTATTCCTTCACATTAAACCCTTTAAAGATTTCTCGTCACTTACAAACAAGTTCAAAGTCTTTGGCACAATGCATAGGCCTTCTGCAATCTTTGTCTTCTTCCTGTCCCATCAGATAGTATCCCTTTACCTTACACCTTATGCTTGAAATGCACAAAACTATGTGTTCTATCTACCACATGCAAGGCTGCTTTCCACTCCCATATAGCTATTGCTTTAGCCTGAGATATTATTTCTCTGGCCACTGTTAGTCACTTAGGCTTCAATAAAATGCTGTTTCCTTTGTGAAACCATACATGTTTCCTGTGCTCTTTATTTTCGCCATGGTCATGACAGACTGCCTTCATATAGCCAATAGATGTGGTGTAGCTATTGTCTGCACATTTTCTCCCCCACTGGAGTCTAAGTAATTGGAAGAGAGGGGTATTTAATCTTTGTTTCCACAGTCACTTACAGTGGGTCTAGAGCATAGTTTTAAATGTTTATTAATTTATGAATGAATGAAGGACTGGATGATTGACCAGGTTTTACCTACACTAGTATAGATGTGACATTTTTTCTATTTTTAAAAACTATAAAGAAGAACTTGAAACTGGCTTAACTTCTCAATAGGAGTGACACTTTCTACATAAGCCTTTAATCACAATAATTTAATGCCTATCTAGCTATCAAAATCAGAAGTGAACATAATTATTAAAAATGGAATATTTGAAAAAATGGAAAAAAACTGTTCAGTACTAATAATTTTTGCAGGTCCTCATCTTCCTTTTATTTCAAAGTGTGTTCCACCCCTCTTTGCTCCTTCAATCACTGATCTAATATTCTTTGTTATTTCTCATCTTAACTACTACAGCAATTCTGGGTAACTGGTCTTCAAATCAGCATATGTCTAACCCTCGGGGGCTACCCGTAGGCTTTCCAAGAGGTATGAGTACAAGGGTAGTTTTAGGGGAATCAATATACAAATCCTCAACTTCCATTTTTTCTTTTCTTCCACGAGATCTGTTGAGGAAGTGCCTACAATAGAATGGACAGATTATCCTTTCCTGCCTCTCTTCTTGCACTTGACAGAAGAAAGTGATAGCTCCCATCCAACCCACTCTTATTGTGGTATATCGCCTAAAGTACAAAAAAAGGCTCTAGGGCACCAAGCAAAGGGACAATTCTAAATATTGTTACCCTCACTAAAAAGTAAATGACTAATCAGTTCCTTTTGCAAGTCAGGCTGTTTCCCATAATTTTCTTTAAACCAAAATTAAAGGAGAATCTAATTACATTAACAGCTAATATATCACCAAAAATAATTTTTGATAATGATTGCTGTTAGATTTTTTTCACGTCTAAGTTTGAAGGATTTTAAGAAATCAAGACATTGCTGTTAAGAAAATACATTGTATTATATTCTATTTATGTGAACACATTTCCTTAGTATATGTTATATATATAATAGATGATATAGTTTGGATCTATGTCCCCGCCCCAATCTTATGTCAAATTATAATCCCCAATGTTGGAGGTGGGGCCTGGTGGAAGGTGATTGGATCATGGGGGCAGTTTCCAATGGTTTAACACCATTCCCCTAGTGCTGTGCTCATGATAGAGATGTCACAAGATCTAGTTGTTTAAAAGGGTGTGGCACCTCCCCTATCTCTCTCTTCCTCCTGCTCTGGCCATGTGAGAAGTGCTGGCTCCCACTTCAACTTCCGCCATGACTGTAAGTTTCCTGAGGCCTCCCCAGAAGCTGAGCAGATGACCAACATCATGCGTCCTGTGCAGCCTGCAGAACTGTGACCCAATTAAATCTCTTTTCTTTATACATTACCCATTCTCAGATATTTCTTTATAGCCGACTAATACAGTATGTATTGCATATATGATTATACTATATAATCATACACACGCACAGTAGGGAATGTCTGCTGAGCCCTGTCTTCTTTCTAGGAAAAAGTAGTATTCATATATGAAAACAAAAACAACAATAAAAAAACTCCATTCATGGGGCATCTATTTAAGAGATGAAAATAATTGAAATTTACCTTTTTGTATTTAATAATTACTTACTAAATTTATAAAATATTTATGCTATTTTGCCCTCTTTTTTCAGTGTTACTGGGTATATTTATGCCTTTTTTTATCAAATACTGTTCTTCACTCTAATGTGTAATCAATCCAAAGAGCCAAAAAAATTAATCCCCAAAATTTAAATACTTTAATGTGACCACATTATTAAAATCAAAATCTACATGCATTCTTTTTGTCATAGAAAAGAATGATAGGAAAAAAAAAAGAATGATATGGTGAAAAGCCTTTTATATATAAAACCTATTATGAAATAGTTCTATGGGTAGAACTACAATGAAATATGAATTAAGGAGAAAAAAATGTAAAATTTCCTTTAGGGAGTATTTCTACATGTATTTTTCTTAAAAAGTGTATAATAGTGGGTATAAAATAGCAATGGTATTTATATTCCTCTGGAGACATTTTAAAACGTGGTATAACCATTTTTTTAAAAAAAAGATCCAGTTTGCAATACTCTTTACATAATATCTACTGCAAATTTTAGATGTCAATTAAAAAGTGTGAGAGGTCATAGATTTAGAACTAAAAATGTTTGGAGAACAGTACACTGAAGTATATTAAAGCATATTATTATATTATTATTTGCAAGCATGAGAATATCATTAATGATTCTGGGCAAGAAGAATAAGTCATTCTTGAACTCTTTGATATGTAAAAATTTTATGTCCACATGAAAATGTTATAAAGAAAGACCTCAGGCTTCATTCCTCTCCTAGTCACTCACTCAAGTCTCTTGAATTCTGCAGCCTCTCTTTCCTGACAGTTTTTCAGAACAGTCTATTAGCTAATGGGTCCATAGAGGACTGGAAAGTCTCATATTAAGTAATTTAATTGAAACAAGAAGTCTGGTTTCGTCGGTGTTAAGTCTTACGCACCCTGCCTTTTTCAAGTTAGCTTTATTGACAACTGATGCTGAATTCAGACAAATTAGAGTGCAAATTCAAGGCTCTCGACCAAGGAAAACAAACATAATCAGAAACAATCAATCAGGAGACTTAAAACATGCCAGTGGATATGGGAGTTACGGGAAAAGTGAAGAAAAAAAGTGTTGAAAACGGATTAAAAATGAACACCAATACCAAAAGCATTCTCCATTTATGAGGCTATGCTAGGCAGCACTTTTGTTAAAGTTGTGCACATTAATTTATTCATTCATTCATTTTCCATGTTCCATGCACCTTCCTAAGGTTTGAGATACAAAGAAGAATAAGACATTGACTTCCTCCCTGGAATAAGACAAAGAAACCGAAAGGGACAATAAACCTGGACATTGGAGGCTAGGGAATTGGCTGTTTGAGTAAGCCATGAAAGACAATGTGAGCCTGAGCTAAGTGGTGATGGGGCTAGGGGTGAAGGAAACATTTCAGATGCTTGGGCTTTAGCGTGTTGAAGGGATTGAGTGACACAACAATGAAGAAGGGGGACATCTAGGTAGCTGCTTCAGGCAACTGGATGATGGGGCTGGAGCCGGGGCTGGTATTCACCATGATAGAGAATATCGGAGGAAGAGCTGGTTTTGGGCAGGGCAGGGAGTTTCTATGGCACAAGGAATAAAAGATGTCTGGTAGAACACGGGCCTCAGAAAATTGCTCTCCAGCGATGCCCAGCTCTGTGTGGGTAATAAGATTACTGAGCGGTAGAGTAAGAAGAAAAGTGGGCTGAGAGTGAAACTCAGGGGAACACCAGCTTTTTCCTTCCCTCCATTCCTTCCTGCCTGCCTTCCTGCCTTCCTCCCTCCCTCCCTCCCTTCCTTCCTTCCTCCTTCCCTCCCTCCCTCCTTTACCTCTCTCTTTCTTTCTTTCTCTAGCTCTTTTTACCCGGGCTGGAGTGCAGTGGTGCA
Source organism: Homo sapiens (assembly GCF_000001405.40). Taxonomy (NCBI): domain Eukaryota; kingdom Metazoa; phylum Chordata; class Mammalia; order Primates; family Hominidae; genus Homo; species Homo sapiens. The sequence goes on from NC_000001.11 coordinate 240,507,395, forward strand.
ATCTTGGCTCACTGCAACCTCCGCCTCCTGGGTTCAAGCGATTCTCCTGCCTCAGCCTCCCAAAAGTAGCTGGGATTACAGGCATGTGCCACCATGCCCGGCTAATTTTTGTATTTTTAGTAGAGACAGGGTTTCACCATGTTGGCCAAGGTGGTCTCAAATTCCTGACCTCAAGTGATACGCCCACCTTGGCCTCCCAAAATGCTGAGATTATAGGCATAAGCCACTGTGCCTGGCTAGAATACCAGCTTTTCAAGGAAGTAAGGAAATCTACAAAGGAAGACAAGGAAAAGCAGGAATAGCAAAGGCTATAAGAAGGCAGATGAGGGAAAGGCTGAAAAGTCTTCACTGGATGGAGAGAGGTCACCTTGGTGGAAGAATTTCAGAGAAGGAGGGTGGGGGTGGGAGGGAAACAAGATTGCAGAGAGGAAGAAGTGAAGACGATGTGTACAGAATCCTATTGACTATGCTTTAAAATGTTGCTGATAAACCATAATTTGTCTGCCCTTCCAAATATTTAAGGATCTACTCTAAGTGAAGTAAATGAAATAACTAGAGAGGATGGAAAGTGTTTTCTGACCCACAGCATTGGGAACCCAAGATACATCATCCTGAAAAGCTAAACAATGAGGTACGTGCCGAGCTGGTGCCTGGGCTTGAAATTCCCTCTATTTTTCTGAAATTTTGCTTGTTTCTCAAATAATTAACCTTCTCCTCCAAATACCTAACTTACTAGCTCTCTACAATGGAAAACTTCATCAGGGTAGAGACTAAGTCTGTTTTGTTCACCACTGTATCTCTGGATTTTAGCACAGGTCCTGGACACATAGTAGATGACCAATACATATTTATTGAATGAAAGAACACACATCTAATGTTTCAGAGAAACTGTAGATGTTGTATTTGCTCATATTCAAACAGCCAGAATATAACTGATATTTGAGAAGGGGAACGTCTGGGAGGTTAGGAGAATCAGTTCTTGGCCTTTTTATTTTGGAAATAAAGCAAATGTAAGTGTACCATTCATGCAGCAAATATTTACTGAGTGCACATGTGCTCGTGCTGTTTCGTGTCCATTCTGCCTTTTATAACTGTTTAGATCTTTCCTAGGATCAGCCTAATTATAAATAATGTAAATAAAAAGGACTTCTACTGAACTTTTGAAGTATTTGTAGAGAATGTTTCTTGTTAACATCAAACAGAACCAGTTATACCTTAAGCCAAGCTTATCAAGTATTTTTTAATACATTGTTTCCAAACACAAGTATTGGCACATTTTTCCATAGAGCAAGTTCTATTAACAATCTATTACTTGTATGCAACACAAATTCAATAAACGACTTTCTTTTTCTTTTATAAGTGGATCTCAAACTTCATTATGAACACAACACACCTGGGAATGCAGATTCCAGGTCCACGTACTTCCAGAATTCCCTGACTCAAGATCTGAGCTGGAACCTGAGAATTGATATTTTTAATAAGCACCCCATACTCTGAAAAACAAAGCCCAAATTATTTGTCTAAAATGTAATTATTTGGGCTCTGGTCCATTGCCTGGGGCAAACTTCATTAATTATATCCTCATTAATAAGGACCAGAGACTAATGCAGTGATACGTAGCAATCAGTGTTAGAGTTAATTGAAATTTAGATCTAACATCTCTTCTTTCTTTGAGCAATTTCCCCATGTTTAGAGTAGAGGACTTCTTTAATGATTTGTGACAGGAAGATGTGAGGGAGAGGATTTGAAAGTAATTGTGACATGTGTTTCCAATTAGGATGCCTTTCTTCTCCAGCCTGTGGGCTGTGCCTTCTGCAGCTCTATGGAGGGTCATGTTGAGAGAGGCCCCTGCACCGGGCCCAGTGGACAGGGTGTGAACCAGGGACCTGGCTCACTCCAACTCAGGTGTAGTGAAGGTCAGCATGCATGTCCAAGCAGAGGCTTGCCCAGGAGCCAGCTCATTTGATTTTTTTTTTTTTTTTTTTTTTTTTGAGACAGAGTTTCACTCTTGTTGCCCAGGCTGGAGTGCAATGGCACGATCTTGGCTCACTGCAACCTCTGCCTCCTGGGTTCAAGCGATTCTCCTGCCTCAGCCTCCCGAGTAGCTGTGATTACAGGCATGCACCAACAAGCCCAGCTAATGTTGTATTTTTAGTAGAGACGGGGTTTCTCCATGTTGGTCAGGCTGGTCTCGAACTCTCAACCTCAGGTGATCCGCCCGCCTCAGCCTCCCAGTGTGCTGGGATTACAGGCATGAGCCACTGCACCCGGTGCTCATTTGACTCTTATGACCTCCCTGCCCCTTTCTCTCCCCAGCTTCCCATGAAGTTCGAATCTCTTTCAGGCAACACACATTGAATGGGAACTTAAGAAGCGGAAGAGAATCTGTAGGCAGGCATCTGTTATGGTAGAAGGGGCCATAGAAGGAATTCTGCATATTCAATATGAAGAAGATCATCTGTATTTGGTGGAAGTAAGTACTGGAGAGGGTAGTGATGGGGTGTCAAGAACTCATGATCCCTGAGAGCTGCTCTCAAATATTTGAAGGGCTGTCATGTGGAAGCTACGGTTAAGCCTTCCTGGGCTACTGTAGAGCAAAGCTGAGACCAATGAGCAGAGAGACTGGGAGAAATATTCTTACTCAATACATCCATTTATAAAAATAATTATCGCTCTTTAAAAAGCAAATGGTAGGCCGGGTGCGGTGGCTCACGCCTGTAATCCCAGCACTTTGGGAGGCCGAGGCGGGCGGATCACGAGGTCAGGAGATTGGGACCATCCTGGCTAACACGGTGAAACCCCGTCTCCACTAAAAATACAAAGAAATGAGCCGGGCGTGGTGGCGGGCGCCTGTAGTCCCAGCTAGTCGGGAGGCTGAGGCAGGAGAATGGCGTGAACCGGGGAGGCGGAGCTTGCACTGAGCAGAGATCGCGCCACTGCACTCCAGCCTGGGCGACAGAGCGAGACTCCGTCGCAAAAAAAAAAAAAAAAAAAAAAAAAAAAAATCAAATGGTATCCGGAATATGTCAATCCACAGGGACAGACTGCAGACTGCTGGTTGCCAGGGGCTGGGGGTGGAGGGGAAAGGACAGCTCCTTAATGAGTACGGGGTTTCTTGTGGGGGCAATAAAAATGTTTTGGAACTAGATAGAGCTGGTGGTTGCAAAACTTTGCAACACTTTTCAGTACTAAAGGCCACTGAATTGTACACCTAAGATTGTTAATGTTACGTTACGTGAGTTTCACCTCAATTAAAAGAAATGAATTAGCAGAGACATTAATTAAAGTGGTGATTTAAAAGTTTTCGATGAACAAATTCAGTCTGTGGTTAACATTTAAATTAATAAAAAATCAAATATTGTTCTCTTTTTCTCTAAGAAAATACGTAAGTGAAGGTTTTGTGATTATGCTTCCAGGAGACAAAAAAGAGACGTCTGCATTAAGTAGAAAGTGGCATTAGGTATGAACCAAGGTAACCAGCTTTTCTTTTTAAAAAACGTAATCCTTTTGTCTTTAAATTAATTTTATTTTGGTTACAAAAATTATTTGCTATTTGTAGAAATTTTGGAGAATTTAGAAAACATTAATGACAACTACAAGTAACTTTCAATGACTATCTAATCTAACACGTATATGTGTTCAAAGTAGTTAATTATTCTTCTATTTAGGTTGTTTCCAGTTTTCAGTTTTACAAGTAATACTGTTTTGAACACTAGTGTACATATTAATTTTGGATTATTATTATAAGTTAGGTATCTAGAAGTAGCATTAGTTTCTCACTAACAGATCTTGAACTCTAACATTTGATAAGTTTGAGTATAGTCAGCACTCCATATCCATAGGTTCCACATCTGCCTATCAAAAATATTCAGGAAAAAACCCAAACAATGAAAAATAACACAACAATAAAAAATAATACAAATAAAAATACAGTATAACAACTATTTACATAGCATTTTTGTTGAATTAGCTATTATAAGTAATCTAGAGATGATTTAGAGTACACGAGAGAATATCCATAGGCCATGTTTACCATGGGAGAATATCCATAGGCCTTTTATAAAAGGGACTTGAGGCCAGGCCTGTTGGCTCACGCCTGTAATCCCAGCACTTTGGGAAGCCGAGGCGGGCGGATAACCTGAGGTTAGGAGTTGGAGACCAGCCTGGCCAACACGGTGAAACCCCGTCACTACTAAAAATACAAAGAAATTAGCCGGGTGTGGTGGTGGGCGCCTATAATCCCAGCTACTTGGGAGGCTGAGGCAGGAGAATTGCTTGAACCTGAGAGGTGGAGTTTGCGGTAAGCCGAGATTGTGACACTGCACTCCAGCCTGCAGCCTGGGCGACAAGAGCGAGACTCCATCTCAAAGAAAAAAGGGACTTGAGCGTCCGTGGATTTCAGTATACTTGGAGGATTCTGGAACCAATCCCTTTTAGATACCTAAGAATGACTGTATCTGTTTAGGAAATCAAGTGTCTGTGGTCCAGGGAAAGATGAATGAGACAGCTGCTGCACCCCCTCATACCCCAATAAGAATAAGTGTGGAAACTGACACTTCAAAACTCCAGACCAGGCCAAGGAGCTGGCAGACCAGGCAGAAGTTAAGCAGAAGCAGGGAAAAGAACATGTGCTTTCCATCTCTCTGTACACTTGTCAAACCATTTTAATTGTAATTTTTGTTTGCTTGGGCAAATGGTTTTTAAGCATAATAGATTTATGTTGAAGATCCAGTTACCATTTCAATGCAAGGGAATAGTGAAGGACAAAGGAAAATTATTTGAGGGAGATTTTTTTCTCAAGAAAAATACAAGAGAAGAATTTACTGGTGAAGAATAAAGAATATATGTGACTAGAGCATCAGTATGAAAACTTCTAATAGTGTGTTAAATAAATATCTATTAATAAGAGAAAAGTCTCAGCTTCAAATGGGACAATATCCTTCAATATTAATAGAAAATATACATTTTAAAAATAAAAAGTGACTTGTCTGGATAACTCAGCACCGGGCTAGTAGAATCATTCCAGAAGTTATAATTAAAATTCCACCTATTTTCCTACTACTAAGGCTCTTTCCTTCTTTTCACAATGAATTACTTATTCATCTTGATCTCACACATGAGCTTTCTGTCGCAGAACTTATAAGCAGAGGACTTTATTGAAAATAATTTTAACCACTGAATGCAGTTTGCTCTACTTTTTGCTAATTGTAATACATTCTTACTTCCCTGACGCATTGATTTAAAGAAAAAAACGATAAAAGCAATATGACATTTGAGATCTTACTTGTTTGAAATGCTGTATTTTAAAAAGTTTCCAGAATCATTCCATATAAGGTTTCATGTAAAATACTCACATTCATATTTCAGTTTGTTGACAGAATTTGTTATACATTTAAGTTATTAAAGTTATGGCCCTGATAGTAGTAGAAATTTAATATCCTCTATAATCCCAATTCCTGTTCCTGAACTCTCCATTAGACAACACTACTTTGGCACTTTCAAGGAGATGTAAATTAATCATTCTCAACACATACTTATTGTGAGCCTACTATGTGCCAGGTGCAGTGGTGGGTACTAGGAATACAGCAGATATGATCCTGTCTTTCCTAGAATTTACATTCTAGAGAGGATATACAGATAATACACTAGTAAATGTTATAAAATATTTTCAGATAGCAGGAAGTTCTATGAAGGACATAAAAAGAGATGATGGTAGTAGAGAGAATGGTGTGGGGTAGGACATAATTAGGTTGAATGGTTAGGGGGCTTCCCTATGGCATGCAACGTGAGACCTGAATAACAAGCAAGGATGATACCCAGATGTGTGAGGAGAGAGAAGAGCTAGCATGAGAATGAACTGGGATGAGGACAAACTCTTCAGGTTCTTAGAAGAGAAAGGTGACCGGGCGCAGTGGCTCACGCCTGTAATCCCAGCACTTTGGGAGACCGAGGCGGGCGGATCGCGAGGTCAAGAGATCGAGATCAACCTGGCCAACAAGGTGAAACCCCATCTCTACTAAAAATATACAAATTAGCTGGGCGTGGTGGCATGCGACTGTAGTCCCAGCTACTCGGGAGGCTGAGGCAAGAGAATCGCTTTAACCTGGGAGACAGAGGTTGCAGTGAGCCGAGATCACACCATTGCACTCCAGCCTGGGTGACAGAGTGAGACTCCATCTACAAAAAAAAAAAAAAAAAAGAAGAAGAAGAGAAGAGAAAGGCCAGGATGGTTGGAACTTACAGTGCGAGGGGGCCAGTATCCAGAGATGGGGATACGGCAGATGGGGACCAGATCATGCATGGTCTTATGGACCGTGATAAATGTTTGGATTCTGTGTTTGGTGAGAAGCCACAACAGGGTTTAGAGTAGCAAAGTGACATCATCTAATTTTATGACTTGGAAACTTAACTCATACTGCTTTATAGAGAAAGGTATATTGGTGAGAATGTAAGTGGAAGACCATTTAAGAATTACTGGAATAATCTACAAATGAAAAATAATGGCAGTTTGCACTAGGGTGGTAGTGGAGAAAAAGAGACAGAAATGGCTTTAAGAGGGTTTCAGAAATAGTCCGGTGCGGTGGCTCATGCATGTAATCCCAGCACTTTGGGCGGCTGAGGCGGGTGGATCACCTGACGTCAGGACTTCAAGACCAGCCTGGCCAAAATGGTGAAACTATGCCTCTACAAAAAAATACAAAAATTAGCCAGGCGTGGTGGCATGCATCTGTAACCCCAGTTACTCGGGAGGCTGAGGCAGGGGAATCGCTTGAACCCAGGAGGTGGAGGTTTCAGTGAGCTGAGATTGCGTCATTATACTCCAGCCTGGGCAACAATAGCGAGATTCCATCTCAAAAAAAAAAAAAAAAAAAAAAGCGTTTCAGAAATAAAAACAACGTGTCACATATTCCATTAGAGGTGAGACTGGAGCAAAGTTTTTGAAGTAAGCAAGACTAGAGGAAGAAGAGTCTCAGGCAGAACTCAAGGGTTCTATTTTGGCCATGTTAAGTTTGAGATGTCTATTAGATTTACATTTGAAAAACTCAGGTTTTCTAAAGTTTACATGAAAGGTGAGAGTGAAATGTACACACTGGAGTAAGAACAATGCTTAAAGTTAGGGATACGGATGAACATATTTAAACAGAAACTAGAGAAGAACAAGAGATAAGAAACAGCTCTGTGGTCCTCCAGCCTTAAAAAGTACTATCAACTTTAACAAGAAGGCCAGGAGCAATAGCTCACACCTGTAATCCCAGCACTTCAAGACGCCAAGGCAGGAGGATTGCATGAGGCCAGCAGCCCGAGACCAGCTTGGGCAACATGGTGAAACACCATCTCTACAAAAAAATTTAAAAATTAGCTGGGCTTGGAGGTGCACAGCTGTATTCCCAGCTACTCAGGAGGCCGAGGCAGAAGGATAGTTTGAACCCAAGAGATCGAGGCTGCAATGAGCTCAATCTCCTCTGCACTCCAGCCTCTGTGCCCCTGCACTCCAGCCTCTGTGCCTCTGCACTCCAGCCTGGGCTACAGAGCAAGCCTCTATCTCAAACAACAAACAAACAAACAAACACAAAAAAAAAACTGAACAAAACAAAACATACTTTAACGGGAACACTTTCAGTGGAAATGTTTTGAAAATGAAGCCACATTAGATAGGAAAGAGGTGAGGATGTAGAAACCATACCTATAAGCAAGACTTTCTGGAGATTTTACAAACACATAGGACAGAAATAGCAGCGGGAATGGGGAGGAGGACTGATGAGGTTAAGGAAGGGTTGTGGGTGATTTCAGTCCAAGTGATGTGCAATTGTGCCATTAAGCTTGCTCTTCAATAAAACAACTACAAATGATTCCAACAAATCCTGTAAATCCTCAATACATACACTTTTACAAGTCTAATTAATTGGGTACTAATTTCCTCCATTCATAGTTTTGATTATTTACTAAATGATTTTTGTTAAATGGACCTACGAGTCCAACTTCTTTTTGCCTCACTTTCACACTCCATAGTTAAAATAATGTGTTACTTTCTCCCCCTTTAATGAGATCAAAGTACATCAGAATTAGATAATATCTCAGAAGTGCTTTAAGTCTCTTGGAAGTATTCTATTATCAGGGAGACTTTTATTATTTTTCCTCATTTACTCATTTCCTTTCTCTCTCTGGGAGGGCACTTTTGAGATTACATGAGGTTGGAATTTATGAGTAAAACAACACAAATACTTAACCCAAGTACTAGCACTTAAAGAAAAAGGGATAGGGGTCATTGCAAAATATTGTAAATTTGAGGACTAACAATTTGGTTTCGTGGGTTTTCTTCCTGAGGCTGTGTTCCAGAGAGGGCAATAAAGGGTAAAACTCATTAGTGCATCATTATCTTTTGTCTGAGGGAAACAATGTGTGGTTTCTGGGCAGCCCACTTGGTGTTTGCATTGGTCCTGGAAGTATTTCAAACCAACTATATTGTTTGAACAATTCCCCCTCTTGAACATAAAAAGGACCACCACTAAACCACAGAGTTAATGCTAAATTACTAGGTGATGATTCCTCTGGCTCCTAAAGGTTTCTAGATCTCAGTCATTGAAATCATGGATCTTTCTTCTAATGAGAAAGAGCTAAGCCTTTATGGTAGACCTCCCATACAGTCCCCCGCCCCATGCCCCAAGTATACTCCATGGACTTCTGAGAAGTTTGGTTTGGAATCAAGGTCATTGAGTTCTCTCCAACCCTGACTTTTTTTTTTTTTTTAAGAGATGGGGTCTTGTTATGTTGCCCAGGCTGGCCTCAAACTCCTGGGCTCAAGCAATTATCCCACCTCAGTATCCCCAGTAGGTAAGTCTAGAGGCATGCGCCACAGCACCAAGTTCAACCCTGACTCTTAGTGGTAATTCTTTAGGAAGCGCAAAATGATCTTAGGTCAGACCTGCACATTCACAGTTATGAGTAACTGTGTAACTGATTAATAGATTTGATGTTGAAAATCCAGTCTGTTTTCTCTTTATCAAAATGAGGCATTAAATGGATACTGGTGATTTTATTTGTATTCTATTGTTCCCTAAACTTATTTAGCTGCCTTGGGGATTTCATTAGACTTTTCATTTTGAATGATATTATTAGAAGAGCATTTATGAGGATATCTTAAAAACACATTTGGGGGCATCTGGGAAGAAAACTCCTTTCATAGGGACTTCCAGTATGTATAATACTATATACTGTGTCTCTCCAAAAGAATGTTATTTGATTTGCTGTTTCTCAGGTTGTAATCTCTTGTCTAGATTTAAACAACAACAACAAAAATCACCTACCTCCTGATTTGTATTATTTCCCAATTATGAGAAAATTTCAGGGTTTTAGAGACCTAGAAAATTGTAAGTGCCAGCAAGTGAGCCTTAATTCTGAGCCAGAATTGTGGGTTTTAATTTTTGTTACTACTGTTATCATGCCCAGTGTGATCCAGTGATGTAACACGTATTGGAAGATGGGGGTCGGCCAGGCTGATTTCAGTCTGGGCCCTGGAGCTAGACCGTCTAGGCTCCAGCTCTGTCTCTAGTACTTGTCACTAGTGAACACTTGGTGAACACTTTAGGAAGTCTTCAAATCGCTTTGTGCCAGAGTTTCCTCATCTATAAACTGGGGAAAACAATACAACCTGCTCATAATGTTATAGTGAGGATTAAATAAGGTAATACATATCAGGCTTTCACAATAAATATTTGTCCAAAAAAACAAAACAAAACCATGAAGTCCCATTTTCCACATGAGAAAACTGAGCTGCCACTATTTTTAAGAACCAGAATTCAAACTTATGATTTTAAAAGTTCCTTGCTTTTCCCAAATATATCACAATTACCTCCCTTTACCTATCGATAGTTTAACAGTGTTCCTTTCCAACTGTATCATTTTAAGTATCTAAAGAAAACCACTAAATTACATTTAAGAATTGTAGCAACCCTTTGTTGGATCATCTTAAAATTCTTAGTAAATTTTGTGCAAGGAGTCTCACATTTTTGTTTTCCACTGGGTCTTATATATTATGGAGCTGGTCCTTTATGCAGTACTATTTATTTGGAAGTATCTCACAAATACAAGGAGAACTGAACTTCTCAGCCCTCTGAATGGGAATTATAGTTGTGATGCTATGATAAACCATAGTATGTATTCTTACTCCTTAGTGGGCTAAGAGCTTCATAGCATAATATTTTAAGAAAATGAACAATCAAATTATCTTAAATCTATTAACCAGCCAACCTTACTTAACAGTTTATGTTTCAAGCCATGGTTCACAATTTTTTGTGTGTCATGGCATGCATGTACAAGCACACAGATACAAACACACACATCAAATAGCTCCTGGGGATAAATATATGAGTCTGATCACACGTAGAGGCTTGGCTATTCCAGAACTCTCCTGGTCATCCTGAATATCTGAGATTATTTCAAACCAGCTATGTTGTTTACCAACTATATTATCAGGAAGTTTATCATCTAGTCAAGAGAAATTCCTTGCTTTTTTATAATAATGAATTTGTTAAAAATAATACAAATTTCAAAAAATGGCATTATAGCTAGGAACACACATAATGCCAGCAGAAAATAGGAGTCCTCCTACATAGACCCACTGCCTAATCCCCCAGCTTTCAACAGCCCGAATCCTACATAGCGTCAATCAAAGGCATTTCAGAGATGCTGAGATAGTGAAGGCAACATCGTACGAAGCAGCAGGTTTTGTCATTGATGTCACTTTTATTCATTTCCACAGTAAGAGCAAAATTTCATAATTCCTGCCAATCATGTCTGCTAAACTCCTTTTACATCAGCCAAAAAGTTGTTTTTCACTTTCCTAAAAGACACCAATTTCTCCCAATTAATTTAGGCTGTACTTGACCCATTTATGCTCTGTGAAGGGCTATATATTCTTGGAATAGAGAGATGCTTGGCAGAAGCAAAAATTGCCGTTTTGAAATATTATCATCCATCAATCTTTATCATCAGTTGGAGAGATAGACCTAATTAAGTCATTCATATGTAAAAGGCAAAATCAACAACTTTTCTTGATAAATGTACTTGCTTTTTCTTTAAAGGATGGACACAAATTTTAAACAGAAAATACATCCTTAGTTTTTGGGTTTTTTTAAACATTTTATCTGCTAATTCTTCTCATGTCTGAAAGTCAAGAGTTAACAACTGACATCTAAGAGTTTCTGGATTTGTTGTCTAGATCAATTAATAAGAACAGATAATTCTATTTGAAAATCATGTTCTCATCAAAGAATTACATCTCATTCAGAAACATCCACCTCACCAAAATAAACACCCGTTTTCATGGCAACGAATTTCACTCTGCTCCTACTTCAAAAGTTATGCCATTGGTCAAAAGAGGCTTTGGATGAAAATCTGCATGCGTGGCTTGGTGCTACCAAACATCACTAATGGGAAAACAAAGGCTCTCAAAGTACATATTGTCTTTACAAGTGACAGCATGTTTATGTTGCTTGATGAATTTATTTCTTGACAGACTTCAGTTATTTCTAAAGACTAGTGTTCTTGTGGGTCTTCAGGGTGTAATAAATAAAGAGACAATACTCAATGGAAACCAAATTTCAGGAACTGATTCATTACACACACACATACATACATATTAGGCTAAAAGTTTATAACTATGTGAAAGAATTTTACAATAGATTCTCTCAAAAAGCAAATATTTTTGGAAGGTGAAGAAACACTCCTCAAGTTTTCTAAGTGTTCAATTCACATATTAGTTTAAGGAAAAAACAAAAGGCAGTGATGTGTATGGGACCATGTGTCCGCACAACAAATGCTCTTAGACTGGATATAAAATTATAATTGGAAGTTTTGTCTCACCCTGCCCATGATGATATAGGTAGCTCCTTGCTAATGTCACTGTTTGAATTGATTCTACTATCACAACTTTCTCCTAACTTCTCTAGTTTTTTTTTTTTCCTTTATTTCCTTTCTTTTTGCCACCTTTATTTTTTCATGCTTCATCTCTATCCTGGTAACAGGACTTAGCCTTTATAACCACCGTTTTCCAAAAATAAAATTCCCATATTCCCACCGATAAACCAATCAGTAATACTAAGTTTCAAAAATTATTTTTGGACTCTTGGTCAAGTTAGATATCAACATATACGGTATTCACGTAACATTTTTTTAAATCTGAAAGCATATTTGTTTTGATAGAGATTAAATATTCTTTCTTCCTCCATCCTTTTATTTCTCAAGTTTTCTGAAACCAATCCTTATTGTTTGTCTACTCTGTACTGGGGATAAAAAGATACATTTTTTTTTTCTTGAGGGCATCATCAACTTATTTCTATCTTCCACAAAAGATATATAAAGCAAAATAAAAAGGACTTAGCAATGGAGTATGAAAAGCTCACCAAGTCCAGGAGCGGTGGCTCACGCCTGTAATCCCAGCACTTTGGGAGGCCGAGGTGGATGGATCGCCTGAGGTCGGGAGTTTGAGACCAGCCTGACCAACATGGAGAAATCCCGTCTCTACTAAAAATACAAAATTAGCTGGGCGTGGTGGCGCATGCCTGTAATCCCAGCTACTCAGGAGGCTGAGGCATGAGAACCGCTTGAACCCGAGAGACGGAGGTTGCGGTGAGCCAGGATTGTGCCATTGCACTCCAGCCTGGGCAACAAGAGCAAAACTCCATCCCAAAAAATAAAATAAAATAAAATAAAATAAAATAAAATAGTCATCAAAACTATAATCCGGAATTGCTCTCCCACTTATAAAGGCCAGCTCAAACTTACTTCTTCAGTATGCAATTTTTGTGTGTATGAGTATGCCAAGCACATGGTCAATTACCCTAATTTGCTCTTAAAGCCTTTGAGCCTAGGAGTCATGTGTTAGAGTTGGGATGAGCTCTGGTGGTCAACTAGTCCATTCTCTTTCAAACACAGGATTCCAAGCAGCAGAATGCAGGGGGACAAATAACCACCTCAACCTTTACTGTCTCTTTTCACAAAATGGTCATGGCTGAATGAGGCTTTGGGACAGTGTGAGTGGACTCTGCTCATAGATAAGTTACCTTGAGGAACAAGACTGAAATAGATGTTTCATAAAAGTGTCTTTTTTTCCTTTTTCCTCATTCAGATTATAAATTCATTAAGTGCAGAAACTTTTTCTTTTTTTTTGAGACAGAGTCTTACTCATTGCCCAGGCTGGAGTACAGTGGTACAATCTCGGCTCACTACTACCTCTGCCTCCTGGGTTCAAGCAATTCTCCTGCCTCAGCCTCCCAAGTAGCTGGGACTACAGGCACGTGCTACCATGCCCAGCTAATTTTTGTATTTTTAGTAGAGACGAGATTTCACCATGTTGCCCAGGCTGGTCTTGAACTCCAGACCTCAAGTGATCCTCTTGCCTCGGCTTCCCAAAGTGCTGGAATTGTAGATGTGAGCCACTGTGCCAGTCCAGGAATTAATGTTTTTACATATGTTTATCTTTTTAAGGTTTTTTTGGTATGATATTTTGTCTTCATGGGCAAAAAAAAAAAAAAAAGCATTTTAGTTTTTGTTTGTTTGTTTTTGCTAAATTTAGCTTAGAACCAACAATCTGGTTCAGTATCCCATCCTCTGGTTATTTTTTGGAAAAGCAGGACAACATAAAGTACCAAAATACACTCTTCATATAACTGTGGTTTAGGTGAAATCTGATTTTGATGCCATTAAATTCCATCTGGGAGTCCCTTGCTCTGTTCCATTCCCTATGCTGTCAGTTATGAAGGCTTTATATTTTCCTGGTTCTGTCTTGTGAGTGATGGAAGCAGCTTATAGATGTCCACACACAAAGACCTTAATATGTTCTCTCTTTCCCCTGCTTTCTCACTGTTCTATATCTTAAAAAAATGAAACGGGAGGGGTGGGCGCGGTGGCTCACGCCTGTAATCCCAGCACTTTAGCAGGCCGAAGTGGGCGGATCACGAGGTCAGGAGATCGAGACCATCCTGGCTAACACGGTGAAACCCCGTCTCTACTAAAAATACAAAAAACAATTAGCCGGGCATGGTGAGGGGCGACTGTAGTCCCAGCTACTCGAGAGGCTGAGGCAGGAGAATGGCGTGAACCCGGGAGGCGGAGCTTACAGTGAGCCGAGATGGCACCACTGCACTCCAGCCTGGGCGACAGTGTGAGACTCCGTCTCAAAAAAAAACAAAAAAACAAAGAAACAGGAAATGGCAGTTAGCATACCAAAGGAAGCGCAAATGGGGAAATGGCAGGTGAAAATGACATCTGTTAGAATATTTTCTATTCACACTAGAGAACTTGCCTGGGGTCGCCCATATTGTGCTTAAAATGGCCAACTCTTTCTACCTGTAAGGCCACCAACATTTCATACACATTGGTGGTCACATATGTGATGTATTTTTTTTCTGTGTTTTTAAAATATAATTTTAAATGTAGGCCAGGGTCAGTGGCTCATGCCTATCATCCCAGCACTCTGGAAGGCCGAGGTGGGCAGATTACTTGAGCCATGGATTTTGAGACCAGCCTGAACAACATGGTGAAACCCCATCTCTACCAAAAAAAAAATTTTTTTTTAATTAGCTCGGCATGGTGGCACACACCTGTAGTCCCAGCTACTCGGGAGGCTGATGTAGGAGGATTGCTTGAGCCCAGGAGGTTGAGGTTTCAGTGAGCCATGATCACACCACCACACCCCAGCCTGGATGACAGAGCAAAACCCTGTCTCCAAAAAAAAAAAAAAACAAAAACAAACAAACAAAAAAAACTAAGACAATAATTGCAATTTCAAAGAAAATCCTGAAACAAAGAGAAAGAGACGAAAAAAGGGATTATACTGAAATGAAAGAGCAAATATAGAGCACAGACTTTTGAAACGTGAATGCCAGGGAAAGCCGTGAATAACACTCTGGGCAAAGTCCTCCCCTGACAACAATGTATCTGGCTTCTGGCACATTCAAGTCCCCATTGAATGCTTTACCTTGGCAAAGCAATTTTGGAACAGTGGTAATTAAGACAGAGAAGAGATTTAATGGTAAATACAATTTTACCACCAACATCTAGTGGTAAAATGGAGCTGGACCCATTAATAATGAAAATTTACAGTAGATTTATAAAATGATTCCAGAGAAATCTTTAAAGGTCCCTAGAGAACGTCATTGTTGTCAGGAGTAAAAGGCACCTCTATGTTATCAGTTCCTTTTATATGAATGTTTGCCCTTGCCCCTGAGAAAACATTGACTTACACATTTGTTAACTTTTAGTAATTTAGGTGACAATTTTCTCTGGTGTTTGCTAAGACTAAAGCCTGTTTGGTGAGATACAATACATTGCAACTTCGTGCTCCTGTGTCACTCTATTGTTTGGAGTTCCTTTCCAGGAAAGAACACTTCATCTATCTCGAAACAACCAATGTAGATGTCCTTGAGCTTTATTTACAAAGAACAAGAGGCCACGAAGGAAGAAAAATCACAGGTAAATCACAAGCAAAATCAAAGAGTTTTCTTCCCATCTCCATAAAACACCTTCTTAAAAAAAGATTCAACAATGACTTTAACCATGAAAAAAGAAGACAGTGCTATTTATATATTTTTGAATGGATAATACATGTACATACAGGTACATAATTCAACAATTACAAAATGGAAGGCAATGAACACTTTCAACCCATCCCTGACCCTTAGCTCAATAGGTATGGAATATAATCAGTTTCTTTTTTTTGAGACAGAGTTTTCACTCTTGCCCAGGTTGGGGTGCATTGGCACGATCTCAGCTCACTGCAACCTCTGCCTCCCATATTCAAGCAATTCTCCCGCCTCAGCCTCCCGAGTAGCTGGGATTACAGGCATG
Source organism: Homo sapiens (assembly GCF_000001405.40). NCBI lineage: Eukaryota > Metazoa > Chordata > Mammalia > Primates > Hominidae > Homo > Homo sapiens. Next base: position 240,523,241 of record NC_000001.11, read on the forward strand.
TGTCACCAGGCCTGGCTAGTAATATAATCAGTTTCTGATCATCACTCTGGAGCAGGGTTTCTCAGCTTCAGCACAATTGATATTTTGGGCTGGATCATTCTGTGCTGTAAGGGGCTGTCAAGTACATTGTTGAATGTTTAGTAGCATTCCTGGCTTCCACCCATTAGACACCAGTAGCAGTTTCTCCCTCCCTCTCCAGATGTGACACCAAAAATGTTCCCCAGACATCCCCAAATGTCCTTTGGGGAGACATTTAACAATATAACTAAAGAAAACTCCATACCAATACACAAGGAGTGTTCTCACTGTTTTTTTTTGTTGTTGTTGTTTTGGAGCTGCATAGTCATTCATTAAATGTATTGTAAGAATTTATTTAACCAGTAACTTATTGATGATCCTTTAGTTTTTTTGTTTTGTTTTGTTTTGTTTTTTCATGTGTGTGTGTTATTTGCCACTACGTGCAGGATTGCAATGAAAAATCTTACACATGGGTTACTTAAATATATGAAATTTTACCTTTAATATAAACTCCTAGAAGAAAAATGGCTATGTCAAAGGCTGCATGTAGCTGCAATTTTGATAGGCATTTCCAAACAGTCTTCCTTAGAGGCCATGGCAGTTTGTATGCTCAGCAACCACATATTTTTGCCAATGTTGTGTGTTACTAACATTTAGTTTTCATTTCCACATTAAAAGGTTAAGTAACTTTTGATTTATTTAACATCTATTTATATATTGTCTGTTTAAATCCTTTACTCATCTTTTAATCATTTTGATTGACTTTTTTTTAAGAGACAGAATCTTGCTCTGTCACCCAGGTTGGAGTGCAGTGATGTAATAATCATAGCTCACTGCAACCTCAAACTTGTGAGCTCAAGCAATCCTTCCGCCTCAGCATCCCAAGTAGCTGAAGCTATAGGCACATGCCACCTCGCCCAGCTAATTTTTTATTTTTTGTAAAGACAAAAAATAAAATGTTGCCAGGTTGGTATGAACTCCTTGCCTCAAGTGATCCTCCCATCTTGGCCTTCCAAAGTGTTGGAATTAGAGGCATGGGCCACCACACCCAGCTCAATGGATTTTTTAGAGGTAATTTACATATTATACTCTTTGTCTATGACATGTATTGTAATTTTTTTAAATCTAGTTCATTGTCTTTTGATTTGCCTATGAGATAGAATAGGGAGTTCAGAAAAAAAACATAGATACATTTGGGAATTTAAGAAGTGATTTATGGTGGCATTTTGAATAAGTGCAGAATTATAGATTTTACAATAAATGGTGTTGGGACAACTGACAAGTAATCTGTATAGTATAAGGTTGGGTTAATTGCTCACAGTACACCAGTACAAATTCCCCAGGGACCTGAGATATAACTGAAACAGAAAAGCATTAGAAGAAGCCATAGAAGAATGATTTTTTAAGATAATCTACTTGTGGTGAAGGCCTTCCCAAGTGTGACATAAAACAACAAAAGCCATACTAGAATGAAATGTGTTTATTTTTTGATGACCTTTCTTTTGCACACTTTTTTCCTACCATGGTTTTCTGAACTACTTCCAAGACAAAAATAGACATATCAGCAGGGCCTCAGCCCCTTTAGCACGAGCCCAAAGTGACCTCATGATAATGATGTTGAAGCAATGGGATTTAACAGCTAGGCCAGTCGTGGAAAGCCCAGGGGCTTTGGGGTCAGGCAGGCCTAGTTCTCACCTCCTGTCCCAGCTACTGAGACACCGTGACCTTGGGCAGTTCACACATTGACTGTGAGCCTTAGTTTTCTCTACTTCCTCGGGAACCTCAGCTACAATTCCATGTGAATGTAAAGCACCTAGTGGGTGCAGGCCCTAAATGACTGGTACTCACTTCCTTTCTCTCCCTTCTCCCTTTAACACTGGATTCTGTGCAAGCTTCTGACCATTTCCCAATGACACACTTACTGCGCAAGAAATGTCCTAATTTCTTTCCTTAAGATTTCTGAGCTGTGTCCAGTGCTGTGTCTCCATGTAGGGGTTGTGCCGCAGGTAGGTCTACTGCTCCTTGCTTACCTTCTCTCTGGAGAGATAGGCAGCAGGCCCAAAGGATGGATCTTAAGGCTCTCCTGGCTCTCAGCCTGGAGCCATGAGGGGCTTTTCTGGAATGAAGGGAAATGGGGAGGGCTCTACTTGTGCAACCTGTAATCCTCCTGGATTTGTTTTCTATGGCAGCCGTAGCAAAGGGCCACAAATTTAGTGGCTTAAGACTCCACAAATGTTAATTTCTTTTTTTTTTTAAACAGAGTGCTGGAGTACAGTGGCAACCAATCTTGTCTCACTGCAACCTCCGCCTCCCGGGTTCAAGCGACTTTGGTGCCTCAGCCTCCCGAGTAGTTGGGATTCCAGGTGTGCACCACCACACCTGGCTAATTTTTGTATTTTCAGTAGAGATGGGGTTTCACCATGTTGGCCAGGTTCATCTTGAACTTGTGACTTCAAGTGATCCACCCTCCTCGGCCTCCCAAAATGTTGCGATTACAGGCGTGAGCCACCGCGCCCAGTTCTAATCTTACTATCTTAGAGTTCTGTCGGTTAGAAATCTGACATGGGTCTCACTGGGCTGGAATCAAGATGTCAACAGGGATGTGTTTCTTTCTGGAAGTTCTAGGAGAGAATCATTTCCTTGCCTTTTCCTGCTTCTAGGAGTTGTGTACATTGATTGGCTCCCGGTATTATTTCCCTATCTTCAAAGCCAGCAACGTTGCATTTCTCTGGCCATTCTTTTGCAGTCACATCTCCTTCTGACCACAGCCAAGAAACGTACTCCTGCTTTAAGGACTCACGTGTTTATATTGAGCCTGCCTGGATTACCCGGGATAATCTCTCCATCTGAGGTCCTTAACTGAATCATATCTACAAAGTCCCTTTGGCCAGGTGAGGTGACATATTTACAGGTTCCAGGGATTAGGACGTGGGCATCTTTGGAGGGGGGCATTGTTTCGTCTGCCACGCCTCTCTAACGTGATTCAGATACCCAGGTGGTGGACAATTCATCCTGAGACATTAGGAGTCTATTTTATAATCATATCATGACAATAATTGCAACGGATGGGTAGTTTGGGGGTGATTATTTTGTCAAAATTAAGGCATTTCTTACAAACAGCACACAAGCTTAACATGCTGGTTTCTGCAGAAATCAAAGCAGCTCAGTCTTCACTGTGCCTTCAACACTAATCCGGCAAGCATTTAAAGCTGTGTTCCCTCTGGCTTGCTCAGCCATCCAGTAGAGCCCTGGTGCAGCTGCTAGCCTCGGTGCCACGGCCTAGATCAGGTTACTCCTGCCTTCTTCTCTAACTTGCCTCTCTCCCAAGAAGTACTTTGATTTAAATATTCTATTACTGATCTCCCAGGCACTCTCTGACCCCCATCTGTCTTTGAGGCAATTCCAAATCTCCGTGCTTACGTGGACGTGTCTTCAAGAGCATCTCATAGACAGACGCACATTGTTCTTTTGCTGTTCCAAATTACAATGTTCCAAATTACGAAAAAAAAATCTGTGCTTTAGTGAAAGTCCTTCAATATTTACACGCAGCAAAAAATGGAATTTGGATGTCGCCAGGTTAAAAATTGCATTTCTAAGTGACTTTTCTGAGCATATGAAGAGATGGCTTAAGGGCACTGGCTGGAGAGAAACTTGAACCTCTAGGATGGGGTCAGTTATCTTGTTACCTTTTAACCCTATTAGCTGATGTTCTACCAGCTAAGCAATACTTACCAACAGCAATCTTCAAAGCCCAGACTAGTGAGATGGCTGAGAAGTAAAGGAAGAGAAACAGAAAGAGCTCATGAGCAGGAAAAAAGAATTAAGTCCATTTCCAGCACAGGGTACGTTGTCAATGTCAGTAATTTGTATCCCTGACATGTTGATTAATCCTTTTCTAGATCTGGTGGTATGTTTTCTACTTATCTCAGCAGCCCAGATATAAAATGCCATTAATTCTTATTAAAGAAAGGAAATTTAATCTTGATAGATTTTACAAGATGCACAGTTGTTGATCATCATGTATCACTCTGTATTTGTAACTTGAAACTATTTATAGGACTCACTGGGAGTCTTTAAAATAATACTGCATAAAGATAATTAGGGCAATTTTCTATCATTAAAGTAGATTAGTATTAATTTTAGTGTCTTTGCTTTTGAACCAACTTCTTAGTGTGTACTCAGATTTTACAAAAATACCTTGTTTAAGGACAATCAAAGAGGACAGGAAGAAAATAAAAACATTTTATAATCTGCTTCTCTGCTGACAGGAGAAAACATTTTGAATGTATGTGTTAGTGTGTTTATAAGAGGTCTGAGGAAGGAGAGGGACAAGGGAGGTACGTAGGTGAGACAGAAAAGGAAGAAGGAAGAAAGAATTTAGCTGAAACAAATTCTCATTTATTCAATGTGTATTACACAGCTAAACTATAATGTTCATGATCTCTAATCTCTACCACAGTACACAAATGTGGTACTGTTATCCCTACTTCGTATATAAGCACACAAAGTCTCTAATTACTTGTCTAAGGTCAAACAGCCATGGTGAATACAAAACTCAAATCCAAGTGTCGTATTTCTATCTTTGTTTATTCCACCACGCAGTATGTAAAATTACAAAACAAACAAATAAAAAATGTAATGGCCTCATGGTTGTGTCCTGGTTTTTTAACACCAGAGGAAAATGAAATTATAGAAAGAAAATAAAAAAGGATTAAATAGAAAATCCAGATAATAATTTTCAGAGATACAGAAAATTTGGGTTAAAAAACACAATACTTATAATAGATAATCCTCAAAGCTAAGCTATGTGCCCGGCACTGTGCTGACATCTTGACACACATTCTCTCATTTAACTCTCACAATAAAGAATAGTAAACTTCTTATTCCTCTGTTATATTTGAAAAGACAGAGGGTCACAGAAGTTTGAGCTCCATTTAAATATCTATTTGAGTATCAAATTTTACTCTGAGAGATACAGTTGCCTTTTAAATAATGAAATTTCTTATGGGACTTTGACTTTTCGTTTTTTACTATGCCTCAGAGACAAGTTCAAGGGACTTTGACATTTCTGGGTTTGGATTTTACTATGTGAATTTCATGAAGCAGAGGCTCAATAATGTTTATTACATTAGTCCATTTGAAACCCCAAATGGCCGTGATTCTCACCAGCCAGTCACTCATTATTCACCTGTCTCCAAACCCTAATATTTTAGAAACATTATTGGCCACAAGGAGAAAGTTGTATCTGGGTTGAAAAAAATGTATATGTATTTTAGGAATGGTAGGTACTGTTTTCTGTGGATAAACCCATAAGCCACAAAACAACTGCAATCGAATTATGTAATTACCTAAGTAATTAGTACCATGCCCATTCTCACTGTGCTCGGTGAGTGGCTGAGACGAATCTGCACTTGAAAATGTTTCTCACCGGCCCCTCCAGTGCAGGTCCAAGCACTCTGGCTTCTCAGTTGCAGCCGTACCAAGGCCTTGCCAGGGAAATGATGAACAGCCTGCCTGCTGGGGTTTTATGACTTTCTAGCCTTAGAACAGTCCTTTATATCCGAGTAGAGCTTCAGATTTAGCATCCAGCTTTGCCAAAGCCACATCAAGGAGACTCGCTTAACCTGAGTGGTTTTCCATCTCTGTCTCCTACATCCCCGAGAAAGGGCTCTCAGGGCTTTCTTGAAAGGAGCACTTGATGAGTCCCTGTGTTCAGCAGCCAGAGTCGCCCTAAGGTGGAACACGATCAAAACTGTTTGGATTGTATTTGCTTTATTATCTGACCATTTCTGATGCTCACACGAACCTTCTAGCCTTCATTCAGTAGGTCTATAAAGGGCTTGGGAAGGAATTTTCCTGCAGGATTTCCTGGTGAGGCTGGGAAGACACATGGATGAGCTCTCAGGAAGTTTGGACCCAATGATGTCATTAAAATCCATCTTGTGCCTTCTTGATTGACTCATTTGAACCAGTGGATAGGCTTTTTTTTTTTTTTTTTTAGCTGCCTATGATTATGTTTTTTTTTTCTTATAAAGTTTGTTAAACTGGTGATTGTATATTTGCATCAAAGAATTTAGGAAATGACAACAGGGAATGGAAAGTTGGAACCATTTGAATGAACATAGAGGATAACAGCTCATTTAACAAAATCTCGGTCTTCCCATGTTGTCATTCTCATGACCCCAGCTAAAGAACCATCTTATTGTGAAATGACTTCCCAGAAGAATAACCTATGTGGGCATCTACCTTCCAGCAAGCTAATATAAATACATATCTGACGTATCTGTTATACAATATGACAAGTAAAGAGATATGTCAGATGAATAAAAAAAAAGAACAGAAACAACTTAAGTTTGCTCAGAACCCTCTTAATCATGAAATTCCAAGATTATCAGAAAGTCCTATAAATACATTTTTAATGATTTTTTTTAAAAAAATGGTAATGGGGTGAGCATATTAGTGCTATAAGTTGCCCTAAATTTTCTGAGAGAAGATGCTTTGCTATTACACTCCCAAGCAATGTCTGCGTATCCTTAATCCCTTTAGATTCCCAGGTTTATTTCATATAGTCTAGGACATTGACATTTATCATTGCTGCTTGAATAAGAATGACTTATTTAATAAGCAAACACAGAGGCAGCCCTTACTTTCACCACTTGAGGACTTTGAAAAGATATTCTTGGGACACCGGTTATCCTGAAATTCTGGTTAACATTTCAGCTCTATGTAGGAAATATTGGACTTGAAGTCAGAAGACTAGGGTTCTAGTCTCAGATACTCATTGACCATTTGACAACCTCATTGGGCACCCGGTTTTTCAAGAAAAGGTAGTACCTCAACATTCCCTAAAACATCAGTCTCTAAATGCTAGTTTCGTGGAACAATAAGGAGTTCTATAACCATATGAATTAAGTCAACCAGGGTTAAAAAGAGCCACAGAAGCCCCTTTTCTGGAAGACTTAAATGTGACTAATGTGATATGTGAGTCTCTAAAAGAGAGTTATAATGTGCAGATTTCCTGAATTCTCAGACAATGGAAACTGTGGAGAAGTATCTCACTGGACTAGCATTACAAGCAAGGGACATATTTTGGAACCTGCCAGACAAGCTGATTTCTAAAAGCCTTTACTGCTTTAAATTCTCTCATCATTTCTGGTTCGCACACAAAAAACCAAGCTATTCTCCAGATACTTTCTACACACCTAGCTCTCAACATTCCTCTCTAAAATATATGACTCTGTTTACTAGTGTAAGGATCAAAAGGATCACATGTGGCTTCCATGAAAAGAAAGGTATCTTAAAATTGTTGTGCATAAAATATACAATTCAAAGGAATTACATAGAGTTATAAATAATAGTTATCATCACTAACCACTCTAAACTAGGACCATCGCAAATGAAACCATTCTTTTAGAAAATAAAAAGATCAATGGTCCATAAGGCGATGCAATGATAAACCACCAAAAAGTCCTGAGATTCTTTCTATGCTAGCCACGTATGAAGAACTCCAAGCCAAACGCTATTCCTTCGGTTGTATTTTTCCTTGAATCTAAAGGACAAAAATAGGGCCTCACAGTTTGAGAGAATCATTCACTTTGTCTAGCAATCAAATGCTTGTGAAAGATAGTAAAAAACGAAGGAAATGAATGGAAAATCACAATGCTTTCTTGAGCTAACTTTTGCAGTTTTAAAGAAATTACAGAGCAGGAGTAAACCATCCTATGAAATTTCAAATGATGACAGACATTTAGAAGCCTGTGTTATTAAAGGCTTTCTTTTATTCTGTTAAATCTTCAATCAGATTTGGTCACAAATAATTGGGATAATTGAACTTATTGCCAAAATACTCATGGAATTAGAAAACTCCCTTAACCAAGGAAGACTCATATAGAAGATCCCACTTGGATTCCCATAAGAGGAAGAAATAGTCTCAGCCATATAGCTTTTTCCCCACTTTCTGGCACAGACTGATACTTTTATTTCATGCTCTCTCCATTGTGTTCATCTCTATTTATATGGATTTTCTTTCTAACCCGCTGGAGTACCTCAAACAAATTGGTGATATTATTACAACTTTAAATTTTTCTGGAAGATTACTTAATAGAGGAAAAGCAGCACAGTACAAGCTAGACAGAAACGTTGAAATTAAACATGATCAGAGCTGCATGTCAGCCTGGGAAATGCGTCCGTCTCAAGTTAAGGTTTACAGTTGCTGCAATTTTAATCAGATTTGTATGTAATAGTATTTCAGAATTTTCCACTGAGTGCTTCTTCTTTTCATTGGAAAAGAAAAGCTTCCCAAACAAAGGAAATTAGGGAACAGAATAGTGGAGTTGGTGTGTGGTTATGTGGCGAGGCCACTGCTCTGCCCATTACCTGCAAGGCGTCTGCCTGCTCCCTGACGTGGACTCAGCTCTGAGTGCTCTCATTTTTCTTTTCTTTTCTTTTTCTTCTTCTTTTTTTTTTTTTGAGACAGTTTTGCTCTTGTTGCCCAGACTGGAGAGCAATGGCGTGATCTCGGCTCACTGCAACCTCCGCCTCCTGTGTTCAAGCGATTCTCCTGCCTCAGCCTCCTGAGTAGCTGGGATTACAGGCGCCCGCCACCGTGCCCAGCTAGCTCTCATTTCTCTTGAAATATAATTGTCATGTGAGTTTCTTCAATCCAAACAATTGGAAACGATAGCCATTGGTAGACACTTTGTTTCCTGTCCAAGACAAGAAACAATTAGCCTCTAACAAGCTCTTTGACCTAGAACTTAATCTTTTAAGACCATGATTTCCCTATATAAAAAGTGAGGATTTGGAACTAAATTATTATTATTATTATTATTATTTTAGACAGAGTCTCGCTCTTGTCTCCCAGGCTGCAGGCTAGAGTGCAGTGGCACGATCTCGGCTCACTGCAACCTCCGCCTCCCAGGTTCAAGTGATTCTCCTGCCTCAGTCTCCCGAATAGCTGGGATTATAGGTGCACGCCACCATGCCCAGCTAATTTTTGTATTTTTAGTAGAGACAGGGTTTCACCATGTTCGCCAGGCTGGTCTTGAACTCCTGACCTCAGATGATCCACCTGCCTCGGCCTCCCAAAGTGCTGGGATTACAGGTGTGAGCCAGAGTGCCCGGCCTTGAACTAAATTATCTTAATTGTCCCTTCCATCTCTATAAATCTATGAGTCTCTAACTTGATGACAATTTCCCAAAGTTAACCAAAGTTATGCAATTGGTTTTCACTCTTGCAATCATTTCTAACTAAAAGACTAATCAATATAAAAAGTACAATTTAAAGCAATCTGCCAGATTTAAGGAAGAAATAGAAGTGACATTTACTGAGGGCCAATCTTATGTCAAGTACTGGAATAACCACTTTATATAAGAGATATATATAGATAGATAGATAGATAGATAGATAGATAGATAGATAGATAGATATATGGCAAGAACCACCTCAGGTAAGAATCATCATCATCATCACCATCACCATTTCATAGAGAAGAAATACTTAGAGAAGTTAAGTCTCTATCTAAATATAGTTAATTAGTAAATAGCCAAGATAGGAGTCAAACCCAGTTTATTTCCCAAAGTCATGCACAGAACCTGGGCACTTTACTGGCTATAGCATTCTGCTTTGAAGTGTACACTGTTTTGCTTCACACTCTTCATACTCTTCAAGTCATTTAAGTTTTCTGAGCTTTATTTATATTCATTATTCATTCAACCCGTAACAAGCAAGTCCTCATGTACAGCAGGTACTGTAATTGATATTGCGATACAGAGGGGACTATGATACAGAAACTACCCACAAAGAACTCAGCATTTTGTAGAGGAGTTGGACAGGAAAAGGAACACAATGTAGTCAGCATTATGAGATGTATGAGACAGGTATGCCTGAGGTGTGAAGAAGGGGGATCTGGGAGTAGAGACTGGGAAAATGAAAATCACTTCCTATGAGAATAATGAAAAGTGGAGGAATATCTGAATTGGCCCTTAAAGAACTAATAGAAATGAGCTAGCTGTGAAAAGGTTGGGAAAAGGAAAGGCATTCTAGCCAAAGAGAACAGATCAGTTTAGCGGTCTGTGAGGGCATTGCATGTTCTGAGAATTGAAAGTAGGTCTCTGTAGCTAAAGCACACAAGGCATGATAAATACTTGGAGCTGAATCTGGAAAACTCTACAGTTGAGAAGCCCTTGGTATCTCATGCTAATGTTATAGAACTCTATCCTGAAGAAACGAGGGAGTCCTTTGAGAATTTTAAGCATAATATATTTATGTAATAAGAAAGTCCCATCAGAAGCACTGAGGAGGCACAACTGGGACAAGGGGAGTAGGTGGCTCTGTGTAGAAGTAGGACAAAGTGATTGGCATCTAGCAGTACACACAGCCTCCCACAAAGTCAAAGAAAGAATCAACAATTGGGATAGAGGAGCAGTTGGATCTGAGAGATATTTGGAGGATGGGTGGGCAAGACAGAAAGGATTTTGGTGGTTGAACAGATATTGAGATACCATTGGCTGTGCCTCCAGGGTTTCTGATTTGGCTGATAGAATGGATGGTGACTGCTTCCATTATTGGGAAACTAGTCTACAGAAAGAGGGGACGATTGTGACGAGAGCCTCAATTCCATCAGGAGCATGTCATTTTTGAGTTGCCTGTGACGTTTAGTTCACATGGAAAAATGTTACTACTATTAAATATGTAAGGTAAGACCTGGTGCTACTTTTGGTTGATATGTATTTGTTGGAAAGGCAGAGTTGCAAACAGATAACTTGAATCAAACGTGGAAAATGCACCAAAATAGTTATGAATGGGCTAGTCCTGAAATTGAAATTAGCTTAACCTTATGGTGTTGAATAAGGAAGCAGGGACAAACCTGAGAAAGATCTTGAAGAAAGTGCAGATGATGGACAATTCAGGAAGAGAGGTGTGAGGCATCTCAGGGAGGAGGACAGCATGAGCAAAAAAATAGAGCATACAAAATGTGAGAAAAACAATCAGTTTTCACTGAAACATAAAAGGGAAGGCAGGGACAAGGTCATGGAGAAATCTACATATGTGCTACTCAATAGATTGGATTTTATGTCAATTATGAGGAACCCTGAAAGGGTTCTGCTCTAAGAGAGACATCACATCTGCAGTTAAGAGAGTGCAAAAGGCCGGGTGCAGTGGCTCACGCCTGTAATCCCAGCACTTTGGGAGGCTGAGGCGGGCAGATCACGAGGTCAGGAGATTGAGACCATCCTGGCTAACACGGTGAAACCCTGTCTCTACTAAAAATACAAAAAAAAATTAGCTGGGCATGGTGGCGGGCGCCTGTAGTCCCAGCTACTCCGGGAGGCTGAGGCAGGAGAATCACTTGAACCCAGGAAGTGGAGCTTGCAGTGAGCTGAGATCTTGCCACTGCACTCCAGCCTGGGCGACAGAGCGAGACTCCATCTCAAAAAAAAAAAAAAAAAAAAAATGCAATACTATGGAAGATGAACTGAAATGAGGAAAAGCTAAAATGCAGGAGACTAGTTAGGAGGCTACTGCAATCACCCTGGTAGGAAAAAGTGAGGGCCTGAACAAGGCATTGGTGTATGGGCGGGAAGAAGGGACAGAAACATGTTGAGGAAGCTAGAACCTTTGGGTTTCGAAAATTTGGTGACGCCAGATACTTAGCTACCAACTGAGGGAAGAAACACAGCAGGACGAGTGGGTCTGGAGAGGAAGGGAGAGATGATCTGTCTGTTTCTGTATGTTGATCATTGAGGTATATCTGAGTAGAGACATCTAGTAGTTATTATATAAATCTGAACTCCAAGAGAGGACTCTGTGTAAGATGATAGATTTGAGTCTATAACATAGAGCTATTAGTTAAATATAATTATAAAGACAATAATAATAAAATTATAGTTGTGAGCACTTAGTATAGGCATTGAGTAATACTTTACATTACTGTGTATGTTATATCCATTATACCCACGATAACAATCTGAGTTGATATGAACACTTCCCTTTACAGAGGTGATAACTAATACTTAAAGAGATTATGCAACTTATCCATAGTTGTGTTGTTAGTAAAAGTGAGTGGAGAGCTGAGCTTTGTTCAGGTTCTCAAAACCAGTTTTGTGTTTGTTTTTGTTTTTTAACTACAACATTTCTTTGAGTTTGTAAAGAAGAAAGATAGTACAAAGGAGAGATTGTGAAAAAAAATTTTAAAAAGCCAAGAATGACATCCTTGGTAAACCAATGTTTAAAGGACGAATGTGAGAAAGAAATATTGGCCAGGCACAGTGGCTCATGCCTGTAATCCCCACATTTTGGGAGGCCGAGGCAGGGGGATCACTTGAGGTCAGGAGTTTGAGACCAACCTGGCCAACTGGTGAAACCCTGTCTCTACTAAAAATACAAGAATTAGCCAGGTGTCACGGTGCATGCCTGTAATCCCAGTTACTCAGGAGGCTGAGGCAGGAGAATTGCTTGAACCTGGGAGGTGGAGGTTGCAGTGAGCCGAGATTGTGCCATTGCACTCCAGCCTAGATGATAAAGGGAGACTCCATCGCAAAAAAAAAAAAAAGAAAGAAAAAAGAGAAAGAAATATTTATACCAGATACCCTGAGTAAAAAGAGAGAAAGACAAGCCTAGTCAAGTCTCCCATGAAAACCAACAGAAAGACGATCCCAAGAAGTAGGGAATGAGCCAGTGTCAGCTGAGTCAAGTGGAGTAAGATAAAGACTGAAGTGAGCCCTCTGAGTTTGGGAACACGTAGGACCTGACTGCAAGCAGGTTTCACTGGAGCAGGTGTCACAGAAGCCAACTTGCAAGGAGCTGAAGACTGGTAAGACAAGAGGAACTGGAACCACAGTACCTTCAATTTCAAGAAATTTGATTAAGAAAAAAAGCCCTCAATTATGGCAGTTAGAAGGAAGGCAGCTCCAATGGAGATAATGTATTATTCATTCACTTACTTATTTGGATGGGATATATTTAAATATATTTTTAAAGCTAAGGACGAACACATAGCTGAAAGTGTGAGGTTTAAAACATATGAGTAAGGGAATATAACAAATCCTGAAGTAAGGTCTGATAATTAAATGGGAAGAAAGGGTCATGCAGCCAAGCACACAGGGGGATGCAGTGACCTTGAATTGGCCAATGGTTAATTTGTCTCTAACCCTAAAGAAAATGTGCAGGGATGGAAGGGTAAATTGGTATGAAGAGGGATAAGCAGTTGCTATTCATACCTGGGCAATTTGATTTTCTCAGTCCAAGAGGGGGATTGGTAATTGTTCCTCGGATGGGGAAACATGACATGTGAAAAATATGGGTCAGGAGTTTAAGACAAAATGGCAGCGGGGGCTGTAGATCTGGAAGCCATCTGTAGAGTTTAAGACAAAATGGCAGCGGGGGCTGTAGATCTGGAAGCCATCTGTAGAGTTTAAGACAAAATGGCAGCGGGGGCTGTAGATCTGGAAGCCATCTGTAGAGTTTAAGACAAAATGGCAGTGGGGGCTGTAGATCTGGAAGCCATCGGTAGCTACGTGCATGGGGATAAGGTCTCTGATGCATAATGTGAGATTTAAAAGAGGCAAATGTTGGATCTTGAAGAAAACTGCTATTTGGGCTGAACAGAAGATAACAAACCTTCAAAGAAGACAGGGAGGTTTGGAAGGAGGAGTACCACAGAATCCAAGCAAAGCAAGAATACTAAGCAACTAAATTCTGACCAAAGTGAGATGCTGACATACTAAAGAAGATAAACTGGAATGACCAATTAATTCCTAAGACTTAGATACATTAGTGAAAGCACTTTTAGTTGTGCTGTAGTAAGATAAATTAAATACAGATTTTTTTCCCCAGAAGCCAGAATAGACCTGTAGCCTCCTTGCCTCCCTTCCTTTACCTTTAAAAATTTTAAACTTGAAATGGAAGCTATTTGAATATATTTAAACACTGTGAGCAAACAAATAACTAAATAAACAAAAGCAAAATATAGGGGAAATGTAAAAGTAGAGGAAGGAAAGAAAATGCTGGACAAAATTAGTTATCTTTCTTTGAGATAGAAAATAAAGAGAAAAATATAGTTAGTTGTGGAGGGAGATGAGTTTTAAGGAGCAAGGAATTCCTGCCTGGTAGCCTCTCTGTTCTCTGAAGTTGTCTACCCAGAGAACACAGAGATGGACACTTAAGAAGTGTAGTAGATGCAAAAAACAGCACTGACAAAAAAAGAGGGGGAAAGGAGTTGATGCCTAAAGAAACAACAAAAGGAGTTCAGGCCGGGCACGGTGGCTGTAATCCCAGCACTTTGGGAGGCCGAGGTGGGTGGATCACCTGAGGTCAAGAGATCAAGACCATCCTGGCCAACATGGTGAAACCCCATGTCTACTAAAAATACAAAAGTTAGCCGAGCATGGTGGCGCGTGCCTGTAATCCCAGCTACTCGGGAGGCTGAGGCAGGAGAATCACTTGAATCCAGGAGGCGGAGGTTGCAGTGAGCCGAGATGGCGCCACTGCACTCCAGCCTGGCAATATGGCAAGGCTCTGTCTCAAAAACAAACAAACAAACAAACAAAAACACTGAGTAAGCCCTGCAAAAAGTGAAGGTATATTACTCTTTTATACAAATATAATATATTAATCATACATACCATGCAAAATATCCATTATTTAAACAATAACTTTCATAATGTCCTGTAGAACCTTGCTTCAGATCTTGAACCCTGAAAATGATTGGCAGAATGCCATGCCCATTTAAAAAACCCGAGTTTTGCTTTATTAAAACTAAAGAAACACTGAAGCTCGTTAAATTTCATGTTTGAAACAATAGAATTCAAAGTAATGACAGTCAATAAATAGAGGAACAAGTCAAAGTAGGATTGTCTAGAAAGCAAAATTTCTTGACCACGCTGATCTTAAATTTAGTTACTCTTATTATCTATAAGCTAACCTAAAACGTTCAGGAGTTCAGGTTAGATGCACCCCTCAAATGCTATGACTGGTGGCTTTGTCTTGACTCACACTTTTTACCCTTTTTAAACTTTCTTCTTAGCTCCTTCGTGATTGATTGCTTCTCTAACAATGCCAACCCTTTCAGTAACCTGGGAAAAGGTTTAAAACACCATGGAATCATCCAGTGATTTCACCTGCCTGCATTTGTATTAAAGACATGTAAAGACTTTCTAGAGGCCAGGTGCGATGGCTCACGCCTGTAATCCCAGCACTTTGGCAAGTGGAGGTGGGTGAATCACTTGAGCTCAGGAGTTTGAGACCAGCCTGGGCAACATAGTGAGACCTTTGTCTCTCCAAAAAAAAATAATAATAATAATACAAAAATTAACCAGGCATGGTGGTGTGTGCCTATAGTCCCAGCGACTTGGGAGACTGAGGTGGGAGGATCACTTGAGTTCAGGAGGCGGAGGTTGCAGTGAGCCAAGATCGTGCCACTCACTACCCTCCAGCCTGGGCGACATAGCCAGATACTGTCAAAAACAAACAAACAAACAACAAAAAACTTTTTAGAACCATGTTTGGTAAACTGTATGTACTCGACTAATACCAATTATTTACAAAATATTAAATTGAGTGAAATACTACGTGTGGGTGTCTCTCCCAAAATGAATCAGAAACTTGGCACATTGGCTACAAATGCTTTGAAATGTCTCTCAAATGAACAATTTCTAGATATTGCATTTTAGAAATGAAATAACAGCATCAGATAATTGGCAGCCAAGTCATTTTCCCAAGTACTGATGCCAAGTACATGGCAGACATCCACCATGGGTTGATGTAGATCAAAAAGGGCTGAGACACCATCTCATGCTTATAGAATTTCAGAATTAGAGACATTAGGAAGGGGAAAGTCAGCATCATTTGCCATGTTAAAGCCAAGCCTTGTGCACTGAGCAACTTTTCCTCACTAGCCAGGCCCCCATCATTCCATTCTTACTTACCATCCCTTATGGATTTCTTATAAAAGCCCTACACATGCCAAATTGGTCAAAACCCTGCCTCGCTGCAGTTATAATGGCTGGCTTGTGGTCTTCCTGGTGGTGACAAGTCTCTTTGCTATGATGTGCCCAACCAGCCAGGATTTTATCCCCTACTCAGGATCCACTCCATGAGCTTGCATGAGTGACCCATCTAAAATTAAACAAAAGAGGAAAATGTGTACCTACTACTTTGAGATGAGAGGGGAGCCACACATCTCTTTCCCTTCCTGGACAGCCCCTTCCCAGAGCCCTAATTTTTCTTCTGTTATTAGATTTTACTATACCCTCTGATCATTCAGAACATCAGGCTTCTTAACAAAAGAGATTTCTGAGTTGAAATACAGTTTTTAAAATGCATAAGCATTTCTGGGACTTTGAAAGCCTCGAAATAACGTATCCAGGCTCTCTGGAACTCATAATCCATATACACATGAAGAAATGACTTGGAGCTAATAGTAGGTAGAAGGAGGAAAAGGGCAATTGACTCCTCATGTTCAACTCTGGGTAACACGGATGAAGTGGAGATTTTAAACTGCAATGTTATTGTAAATTTTCCAGTAATCTACATCTCTGAATTGCAAATACTGGAAACCAATTCTGCCTTCCTGCTTCACACTGACAGCAACACTTTGCTTGCCCACATCTGAGACCTTGTGGCTTTTGATTCATTCTGTTGTTGATGCCTCCTCTTTTGTTTTCTCAAAATGTAAATATTTGTTCTGTCTGCATTCTAATTGCTAGTCTTGGTGTCTTATTGAGTATGAGGGCTGCGGTAACTCAGATGCCTCAGGATCCCTTGCTATGTGCTGAGATTTTCTGTCTTATGACATTAGCTTGGCATAGCTGACAGCCACTCTGTTCCTATACCCCTGACTAAATTGCAGTTATGTCTTTAATTGAAACCTAGTATTATTTTATTCCTCTCTGCAGAGAGGAAACCCAGAACTATCATTCTGTACACACACCAAACCACAGGAGCCTGAGTGAGGGTCCGTAATGACAGAGCCTCCTACACAGCACATTTGCTAGCTTTCTACTAATTGCCCTAATTTTCTTTGTCTAGACTAACTTATTGCATTGAAGAGCTCCTTCTCCAAAAGGGGGCATAAAGGAACATCGTGAGTCCTTCAATTGCTGCCAAGTGAAGAAGGGAGAAAAACATGGCTAGGACCAAGAAAACAAACAAAACAGGATCAGGGGATTTGTCCTTGAATGGGCTGTTTCCTAGAGCACATATTGATTTAAAACTGAACTGAGAGATTGTGTTCTAGTAAGACTGGAATCACTACCATTAACAGCAAAGAACACAAACAGCATGTAAGTCAAAAGAAGAATGGTACTTCTTTTTTTTTTTTTTGAGATGGAGTCTCACTCTGTCGCCAGTTTGGAGTGCAGTGGCACGATGTAGACTTACAGCAACCTCTGCCTCCTGGGTTCAAGAGATTCTCCTGCCTCAGCCTCCTGAGTAGCTGGGACTACAGGCATGCATCACCACGCCCAGCTAATTTTTGTATTTTTAGTAGAGACAGGGTTTCACCATGTTGACCAGGGTGGTCTTGATCTACTGACCTCGTGATCTGCCTGCCTCGGCCTCCCAAAGTGCTGGGATTACAGGTGTGAGCCACCACGCCAGGCCGCATAATACTTCTTAAAAGAAGACAGTTACTAAGGAGAGAGATGGCACTCATCAATCAGTTTGTCGCCTTCCAGCATTCTGGACCAGAAGTCTCCTGTGTTTGTTCTGCTTTTGTGGCACCTTCCTAGTTTGGCTTTCCAGATTGAAAGAATCTGGAATACCCTGTGGAATACCCTGCCTTCTCTTTGGCTCACACCAATGGTGAATACAAAGAGAAATTTAATATCTTGGCCATAAACCCTTTTGAAACTTCCCTGGGATAAAAGGGTGGGATCCGTATGAATAACTGCAGGTTGCCTTTTCACCGTTCTTAAAAGTCTGAGTCGAAATGAAGGTTGATGCTTCCAGATTGCATGGCCTCAGAACTAGGGAGAGGAGCCCCACAGGGTCCATGGATTGACCCAGTGGATTGAAAGACCACTGGGCAAGGCTGGTCCATCCTGGGCTGGAGCTGCCCTTCAGTTCAACATGCCAAAGCCTTGGGAACAATGGGACTGGCCAGGGGCCCTAGAAAAAGGGCCAAGAGTCCTTTGCTTGCAGGACATTCTCTTTAGCCAAATTCTCCAGTGCCTGCTGACTAACTCACTTCCCACTTCTCTTCTGTTAACTACGTTACATTTTCTCCTGTACTTGCCATGTTCAAAGACTGATTGATTTCCTAGAATGTGATGATGGGTTTCATTTTACTGCTGTCTTTTGTGTCAATTATGTTTCCCTTGATGGATCAACTTTTCTGTTTGGTTGCGTTAACTCTCAGTGGGCCAAAAATTTCATGGGTTTTATTTCCCTTGGATTTTTTTTTTCATGTTTACACATTGCACATGGTAAGAATTTTTTTTTTGAAGTAAGTATACTGATGAATTCTCAAACTGGTTATAAATTGAAGAACTGATGCAATGTATTCTTTCCAGCAAGACAAGCAAGTGGCTTGGATTTCTGTTTCTAAATCTGAGGGAACCACTCAGGCAAAAGTCATAAAGGGCCAGTTTGTGTCACTGGTCCTAGGCTGAGTGCAGAGAATCCAGAATGGCAGTGCACAGTTGGCTGCGAGCAATGCCATCACTGTCTTTATCACTCCTATCTCCACGTCTCTACTCTGTACTCCATTTCTGGGAGAGGAAATGATATATTGATGACATTAATGGTTTTAAACTGGTTGTGATTTTGCCCCTCAGGGGACATTTGTCAATGTGTGGAGGCATTTTTGGTCATCACCACTATGACGGCTGCTACTGAAATCTAGAAGGTCGAGGCCAAGGAGGATGCCGAACATCCTGCAATGCACAAGACAGTCCTCCACGACAAAACACCATCCTGTCCCTTGTCAACAGCATCAATATTGAGAAACCATAGATTAGATGTGCTACCTGATCACATCTCTCCAGACCTGTGGAATTCAGAGGTATCTCTAACAAATCCACAGTAATTGATTCAGCATTTTAATTTCTAAGGAGCTGAGCCGGGCACGGTGGCTCACGGCTCACGTCTAATCCCAGTACTTTGGGAGGCCGAGGTGGGCAGATCACTTGCGGCCAGGAGTTCGAGACCAGCCTGGCCAACATGGCGAAACCCCCATCTCTACTAAAAAAAAAAAAAAAAAAAAAATTAGCTGGGTGTGGTGGTGCGCACCTGTAGTCCCAGCTACTCGGGAGGCTGAGGCAGGAGAATCGCTTGAACCCAGGAGGCGGAGGTTGCAGTGAGCCAAGATTGTGCCCCTGCACTCCAGCCTAGTGACAGAGCGAGACTCCATCTCAAAAATAAATAAATAAATAAATAAATAAAAATTTCTAAAGAGCTGATATATTTTTCTCAGAAGGCTTGATCACACTTTGGATTTTTTTTTCACTCAGTTTTGACAGAATTTGAATTATCTGATGGTTTGGCATAAGAAGATTATGAATCAAGCTTATCTGCAATAAAACTTTGCTATGCTTCTGATTTGAGACAAAGATACTGTAATGTTTTGTGCTTGGCAGGTTTTTATCTTGCAAGATATATTAAAGCCTCCTAGTACACTGAAGATTCTTGGAAAATTATTGATCCTCTCTGAGAAAGAAAGAGCTCTCTCCACTCTTAGAAGTTCTGTAAGATCCCACCAAAAAATATCACCTTCTTTGTGAAGCCTCTTACTTTCCTTCCGACCCATTGTCAAGATCCCACTAAAATATCAATTCCTCTGGGAAGCCTCCCAAAATGTCCTAGGCTGCTCTCCTTCTGAGGTTTCAAAAGCATTTCCTCGATCACTCTGTCATGATTATTTGACTATTATTTTACATCCCCCATCAGATTGTGGATCACCTAAGGCTAGGGCCAGGCTTGCTTCACTGAAGACTGCTCTACGGCCTAGGACAGTAATCAGAGAAAATGCACTGTAAAATGTGTTAGGTAATCTATTAGTCTGTCGTCATGCTGCTAATAAAAAGACATACCTGAAACTGTGTAATTTATAAAGAAAAGAGGTTTAATTTACTCACAGTTCCACATGGCTGGGGAGGCCTCACAATCAAGGCAGAAGACAAATGAGGAGCAAAATCACGTCTTACATGGTGGTAAGCAGGAGAGTTTGTTCAGGGGAACTCCCATATATAAAACCATCAGATCTGGTGAGACTTATTCACTACCATGATAACAGTAGGGGGGAAACCGCCCTTGTGATTCAATTATTTCCACCTGGCCTTGCCCATGAAACATGGGGATTATTACAATTCAAGGTGAGATTTGGGAGGGGACACAGCCAAACCATACCAGGTAAGGAGTCTAACAATTCCCACAAAAAATTCTATTTAGTTTTAGGAACAAAGCATACCTTTTAAAAAAATTGATGTAAACACAAAATATATCATCAAGGGCAACTTACTATATTAAACCTACCTTGACATTGATCTTTTATAGAAATTACTAAGTAATTATATTTCAAAAGGGATTGATATACAGGCCTAACGCTATTTTTGACACTTGATATCTTAAGAGAAATGCCCTATATAATGTGAGACTATTATAATTTTAAAAGTATATTATTTGTTTTTCAATGGGAACAAGCACAGAACTAAAGGGTGACCCTCCATACCTGTGGGTTCCACATTCATGGGTTCAACCAACCTCAGATCAAAAATATTAAGGAAAATTCCACAGTTATAAAAATCAAAACTTGAATTTGCTGTGCCTCAAGTACTACCTTGAATCCACACGAATGAAGTGATGTATAGACACTGTACTAGCTATTATAAGTAATCTAGAGATGGTTTAAAGTAGAAGAAAGACTGTGCATAGATTATATGCAAGCACTAGGCCTTTTTTTTTTTTTTTTGAGACAGTCTCGCTCTGTCGCCCAGGCTGGAGTGCAGTGGCGCAATCTCGGCTCACTGTAAGTTCCGCCTCCTGGGTTCACGCCTTTCTCCTGCCTCAGCCTCCTTAGTAGCTGGGACTACAGGCACCTGCCACCACGCCTGGCTAATTTTTTGTATTTTTAATAGACGCGGGGTTTCACCATGTTAGCCAGGATGGTCTCGATCTCCTGACCTCATGATCTGCCCGCCTTGGCCTCCCAAAGTGCTGGGATTACAGGCGTGAGCCACCGCGCCTGGCCAGTACTAGGCCATTTTATATGAGAGACTTGAGAATCTACTGATTTTGGTATCATTGAGAGATGAGGTCCTGGAACCAACCCCAATGGATACAAAGGAACAGGTGTATTCAAAATGCTCCAACTGTGTCTTCAAAAACTCTTTATATCAATCAAGGCTATGTGATTCCTATTTATAAGAAAAACGATTTCATTCCTCTGTTTTTAGCCCTTTTCAAAGCCGTCCACACCTCTTCACACATCTCTTTCACTTCATTTCTTTTGTGATCTTTGGAGTTTCAAAATATGTGTTTTTAGTATCTTGACTGCTACTACTCTGTTCCCTTTCTCTATCTACAAAGCCAATGTTGTTTTATGTATAATCTACATATGTGTTTCAAAGAACTCAACTATCAGGCCTCTCTGGATCTTCTCATTCCTCTAGTCTGTGAAAAGTTATATAGTTCTCAAAGTTCAAAACTAAAGTTTCCTACACCAATTCATTTCACAAAGAGAAAAAATAAGATCAAATGTTATTGTGATATTGTGAAATACATATTTGGTCCTCCACCTAGTTTCCTGAGGCACAGCTCCTAAAATCTTTGGGCTCCTCAAAATGATAAGGATCTTTTTGTCTGCTGATGTTGTCTGATGGCTGGAGGCTCCCAGATAGCTTCAGGATGGTGGCTGGTCAATGGAAAGACCACAGCAGGATTAGAGGGTTGGGACTTTCAGCCCCATCCTCCAACCACTGGGAAAGGGAGAGAGGCTGAAGGTTAAGTTGCTCTCCAATAACCAGCGACTTAATCAATCATGCTTCTGTAATTAAGCCTCCGCAAAACCCCCCAAAAGGGGTTCTGAGGGCTTTCGGATAGTTGGACATGTGGAGTTTCCTGGAGATTGGTGCCCAGGGAGGGCATGGAAGCTCCACGCCTCTTCGTGCGTGCCTTGTCCTATACGTCTCTTCATTTATGTCCTTTAGAATAAACCAGTTAAACGTAAGTAAAGTGTTTCCCTGAGTTCGGTGTGCTGCTCTAGCAAAATTAGTTGACTAATTGTAACTAAAATTGTACAAATTGTACAAATTGTACAAAATTGTAACTAAAGGGTCAGGAGCACAGGAGCACAGGTAAGACAACATAGGACTTAATGCTTGGCATCAGAAATGGGGTATCGTCTTGTGGGATTCTGAGCCCTCCCCTCACCCTATGGGATCTGATGCTATCTCCAGGGAGACAGCGTCAGAACTGAATTGAGTTAAAGGACACCCAGTTGGTGCTCACTGCAGAACTGATTGCTTGCTTGGTATGTGGGGAAAAGCCCCACACGTCTGGCGTCAGAGTATAACATTGAGCAACTGAGTGACAGTCGAAGAGGAAGAGCATATTTCAGTTGTTTTTTTCCTTTGTCTTCGGATTCTATATCCCTTTGGTGCATCCGGAGCACCCCTGCTTTGCATAAAATGAAACAAAAAACCTAAGTTGTTTAATTAACCAAGTAATGCAGATTAGTTATTATTTTAAGGATGAATAAATAATGTTTAATACAGAATGGATTAATTAACAACGGTTAATTTTCTTGCCAATTTCTCCACAGACTCTTCCAATTTCTCTAAGCAGAATTTGTTGCTGGCCAGGCACGGTGGCGCATGCCTGTAATCCCAGCACTTTGGGAAGCTGAGGCGGGCGGATCACTTGAGCTTAGAAGTTCAAGAGCAGCCTGGCCAACATGGTGAAACCCCATCTCTACTAAAAGACACAACAAAAATTAGCCAGGCATGGTGGCACATGCCTATAATCCCAGATCCTTGGAAGGCTGAGGCAGGAGAATCTCTTAAACCTGGGAGGCAGAGGTTGCAGTGAGCCAAGATCGCGCTACTGCACTCCAGCCTGGTTGACAGAGTAAGGGAGACTCAGTCTAAAAAAAAAAAAAACAAAGAAAGAAAATTTTGTTGCTTATTCATTTGCATTAACCACTTTGTGTATGTCTTACAACTCCACTCACACCCAGTGCTACACTCACACCCAGCACTAGAGGATGGGAACATGGGCATGTCACTACAAGGTCATCACTCCTCAAGGGCAAGACTTTATCATATTATCTCTGCCTCCGCCATGTTCCTACATAGAGTTTTGCACATAACAAGCAATCTATACGTAGTTGTTAGATTGAACTAAATTCTGTAGAGGTATGGACTACAGAGAAGATTGCAAATGATACTAATTGTATCTGTATTTTAAAGATGTACATCAGTTTCAGAGTTTTAAAAATATACTGCAATGTGTTAACACTGTCCATGGTATCTTTTGGGAATGAGAGAGAAAATGAAATTTTTATCTCATTGAAAGAGTTGTCAAAACAGCCAAGTGTATTAAACTTTACTAAATGCTAGCATCTTACATGTCAGTAACACGAAGAGGTAACTCGTTCTTCAAGGGCTTATCACTTAGTAAAAAAAAAAGAATGTTTGCTTACATGTATAAAAATACATAGCAACATGGGATATCACATGCAAATTCCCAATGGAAGAGAATAGACGATTAGTGCTGCAGGAATTCAGACAAGAGAGAAGACACTGAAGACCGAGAACATTGTAGGTGGCCTAATAAGGGATGTGGTGCCTGGCCTGGCCTTAACAGGAAGGGAGGGATTTACAGTAAAGGCTATGCTAGATGGAGAAGGGTATTCTTGGCAAGAAGGGTGAAGGAATGCTTTGGAATCTTGAATGCACATAGCCCAGTTACAAAAGAAGGAGTAGATGGGAGAAGAGTCTTTTGATGTAAAAATATGAATGGAGGCCAGGCACGGTGCCTCATGCCTGTAATCCCAGGGCTTTGGGAGGCCGAGGTGGGCGGATCACGAGGGCAGGAGATCAAGACCATCCTGGCTAACACTGCGAAACCCTGTCTCTACTAAAAATACAAAAAATTAGCCAGGCGTGGTGGCGGGCGCCTGTAGTCCCAGCTACTCAAGAGGCTGAGGCAGGAGAATCGCTTGAACCCGGGAGGTGGAGGTTGCAGTGAGCCGAAATCACACCGCTGCACTCCAGCCTGGGCGACAGAGTGAGACTCCATCTCAAAAAAAAAAAAAAAATATATATATATATATATATAGATAGATAGATAGATAGATAGACAGATAGATATGAATGGAAGTTCTAAAGATGGATGTGAAGAGGGAGTAGAGGTGGAGAAGAGGAGATTCAAACTTTTAAGAATCTCCAATGCCAGACAAAGAAACCTGGATTTGATCTTGTAAATGAAAAGCTTCTTAGCACAGCACTGATGTGCATGAAGAGGTGTCTTAAGAATATTAATATGGTAGTTTAGGGGGAAATCTGGGAACAGAAATACCCTTGGGAGAAAACTAAATCTCTCCACTTAATATATGTGTTAAAAACCACCCAGAAGAGGAAGTCAGGCACAAGCAGAGAAAATGCTGACTAGCCAGCTATTGAATAAGTAAGTAAATGCATGAGAGAATACTAAATATGTTATCTGATGGGAGAAGAAAGAGAAAGGAAGGTAGGAGTGATAAATCAGTGTAAAGAAAGACGCGGCTGGGCATGGTGGCTCACACCTGTAATCCCAACGGTTTGGGAGGCCAAGGTGGGTGGATCATCTGAGCTCAGGAGTTCGAGACCAACCTGGTCAACATGGTGAAACCCCATCTCAACTAAAAATTTAAAAAAAAAAAAAAAAAATTAGCCAGGCGTGGTGGTATGTGCCTGTAATCCCAGCTACTCGGGAGGCTGAGGCAGGAGAATCACTTGAACTCAGGAAGCGGAGATTGCAGTGAGCCAAGATTGTGCCACTGCACTCCAGCCTGGGCTATAGAGTGAGACTCTGTCTCAGAAAAATAATATAATAATAATTAAATAAATAAATAAAAGGCAAAGAAATAGGATCTTGGCTGCTCAATCTTACAAGACTCTAAAATTTTCTTCTTAAACAACTCCCCATGTCTTTTCCAATTCTTCAGATTTCTTAGTCAACCATATTCCTTAGAACTTTTGCACATAGTCCTCTTATCATACTTAAGTATATATTGTATTACATTTGTGCAGAAAGACTTTGTTCAAAATCTTTAGGTTTGGGTTGATGGAACAATGATGTTTTCAATTATATCTATAAAGTATAAACTGGTTTTGGCTAAAAATATATGAGTCCAGTTTAAGATGTTGACAGTCTGAAGTAACCACAGGACTTTTAGTAAGAGGTATCTAATTGCAGATAAAGATAAAGAGTGAGTTCGAGACTAAAGATTTGGGAAAGGTGTTCTTTAGAGCCATGAAAAGAGATGAAATTCCTGAGGGAGAAATAAAAGGGAAGTGAGGGAGGCTGTGAATAATGAATGCTCAGGTTGAAGGAAAGAATGAAGGAGAAAAAAGGAAAACGAACAACCTTGGTTAGAAAGAAAACTTGACGGTAAAAAGAGAACTAGGTCCATGTAGAAGCCTAGAAACTAAATAAAGAAACGGATTTTAGGAGAAGCTACTGAGTAATCCAGAAGAATAATGACTGAACAAAAGATCTCTGGGTTTGACATTTAAGAGGTCATTGGTAACCACTGAAAACAGATCCAGTCAAGGAAGCACCCAAAGTCAGATCAGACTGTTAAGAAGTAAAGCAAGGCTAGGCTCGGTGGATCATGCCTGTAATCCAGCACTTTGGGAGGCCAAGGCGGGTGGATCACCTGAGGTCGGGAGTTCAAAACCAGCCCGGCCAACATGGAGAAACCCCATCTCTACTAAAAATACAAAAATTAGCCAGGTGTGGTGGCACATGCCTCTAATCCCAGCTATTCGAGAGGCCGAGGCAGGAGAATTGCTTGAACCTGGGAGGCGGAGGTTGCGGTGAGCCAAGATCACACCATTACACTCTAGCCTGGGCAACAAGAGAGAAACTCCATCTCAAAAAAAAAAAAAAGAAAAGAAAGAAAGCAAAAAGTGTGCAGATAGAGAACAGGAGTAGGGTAAAAATAATACATCAACTAATTGGTTAACCTAAAAAGAGATAAATCCCAGCAGAGCTAAGGAAAGGGACTTTTTGTTTTTAGATAGAAGGTTTGAGCAGATTTACAAGGTAAAACCCAATACAGAATCAAATATTAAAGACACAACAAAAAAACCGGTGCATCTGAAAGTGTAGAATTTAAAAGAAGGTGGGGTTCCACAGAACTGAGACATCTGGAAAGGCCTTGGTCTTGGAGAAGAGGAGCTACAGCTTCTTCTCTGAGATAACACTGAAGAATGAGAGATCCCTGAAGCTACGGTGATGTGCTTGGAGACAGTGAGAAAGATGTGGCTCTGTGTCACACAGAGTTGGCAAGGCAGAAAGGGGAAGGTACAGATCTCCATGTATGAAAAGCAGTGTGGCCATCAGGAGTGGAATCACCTAGAACAGACTCTGTAGGCAAGATAAGGAATGATTAAGGGATGAATTAGAGCCATGAGGTGGGGCATAGACTGTTCAGCCGGTTCCGGCACCTGCTTCTACCATGGATGAGGCAAATAGGAGTAGAAAGGATGGAGGAAGAAGTCAAAAGCTTCTATTATTTATTCGAGGGAATGCCATGTCAGGGGCACCGATTGTTTTTATTTATTTTATTTTTTTTAAGACGGAGTTTCGCTCTTGTTGCCCAGACTGGAGTGCAATGGCGGGATCTCTGCTCACCACAATCTCCCGCCTCCCGGGTTCAAGCGATTCCCCTGCCATAGCCTCCCAAGTAGCTGGGATTACAAGCATGGGCCACCATGCCCGGCCAATTTTGTATTTTTAGTGGAGACGGAGTTTCTCCATGTTGGTAAGGCTGGTCTCAAACTCCCCACCTCAGGTGATCCACCCGCCTCGGCCTCCCAAAGTGCTGGGATTACAGGTGTGAGCCACCGCGCCCAGCCAGGGGCACTGATTACTAGGGGAACTAGCCATTTGCCGAAACCCCCAATTAACTCAGGCGGATTTACAGATTAATGATTTGTTAAAACAAACAAACAAACAAACAAACAAAC
This sequence comes from Homo sapiens, assembly GCF_000001405.40. Lineage (NCBI taxonomy): Eukaryota > Metazoa > Chordata > Mammalia > Primates > Hominidae > Homo > Homo sapiens. Next base: position 240,550,433 of record NC_000001.11, read on the forward strand.
TCCTGGCACAATGTCCTGCTTTTCTCCAACAATGCTCAGAAGACTCAGTGAATGTGAGTGTGACCCAGGATGGAGGATAGCATAACAAAAGGTAAAATGATCAGATTCTGTGCCGGGGTACTTGGGGAGTAGTGGGGAAACTGAATAGGACACAATGTAGCATCAGTTGTTTTGCATTAAAAATGACAGGTGGAAATAGAACTCTACTAAGTATCTTCAGTAGTCAATTTAGACTCTGATTTTTTGCTTTATAATGACATTTCCTTTTCTATATTCACATTGGCTACTGAGCTGTTGAGACAGTCTGAAAAGATGTAAATATTTTTGTTACAAGTTGACTAATTCAAAATGTCTTTCATTGAATATTGCTATTACGAATGATCAAAAGCAAATATTGTGCTGACATATCCAATCAAATGGACATTGTCAAACATCCTCAGCCTACATCCTTTAAAATACACCCTTCGTTATTTAGACAGATTGCAATTACTGTAGCAAAATCATGAAGACCAGTTAGGATGGAAACTTGGAATTAAAAGGAATAATTTTGAAAAAAGAATCTTTTATGGCCTAAAAGAACTCATTTAAAGTTTTCTATCCTGGGCTAAATATCTCTGGATGTTCTTAAATTTGATTTATACTGTTTTATTCTGAAATTGAGCTGGTTTCTCATCTTCCCCATGCTTTCTGTGGAGCTGATCCAAGCACAGAGTCTACTTGAGTACTGAAATAGCCTCTGCACTTGGATCTTCTCCATGAGGGTTCAAAGTAAGATGAAACACTGGTTCTTGGGAATGGAATGACTGTGGATCTCAAAGCCCTGACATCTGAAAACAAAAATTGATTTGCATGGAAACTGAGTTCAGTGAAAACTACGCATTTTCAGTATAATAGGTTTACCTTGTGTTTTTTTTTGTTTTGTTTTTATTTTTTTGAGATGGAGTCTTGCTCTGTCACCCAGGCTGATGTGCAATGGCGCAATCTCGGCCCACTGCAACTTTCGCCTCCTGGGTTCAAGCAGTTCTCCTGCCTCAGCCTCCTGAGTAGCTGGGACTACAGGCACATGCCACCACACTGGGCTAATTTTTGTATTTGTAGTAGAGACGGGGTTTCACATGTTGGCCAGGCTGGTCTCTAACTCCTGACCTTGGCCTCCCAAAGTGCCGAGACTTCAGGCATGAGCCACCATGCCTGGTCTAGTTTACTTTTTTTTTTTTTAGTTTACCTATTTTCTAAATGAACTATTGAATGAGGTACACTTAAAATGTAAGCACAAATAAGAATGAAAAACCTCACAGAAATAAGATCTTCTGTTTATTTTCTTTCTTTTTGCCTTCTTAAATGCTGAGGCTGGCTTTCAGTGAGGATATTGAGGACAAAAATGTGTTGAATTAATGGAGAAGGGAGGAGGAACCTCAGAAAGTCATAGTTTCTTCAAGAAAGAAGGGATCCTAGAGATTATGCCAACCTTCCTTACAAATTTTATAGAAAGGGAGTGTAAATTCTGCAAATAAGAGGGTGTATCTAAGATTACACCTAATTTTAGTGAATAGCCCAGGACTATGAAGCCAACATTCTCCATTGAACCACAGTGTCTCTCATAAATTTCTCTTACTCTACATACTTCATATACTGGATGACCTTCCATAGAGAACACAGATTTTTCTTGTAGCAGTAATATTACGATCCTTGGGTATAAGTGATGGTGAGATGATACCAAATTCAGTCCTCTGCCTTCAGTAATCAGCTAAATCAAAGACACTCAACTAAAGGAATTTCTTATTGTTTTCTTTGAAAGTCATATCCAGTTTTTAGGGAGCTTTCATTTTCTAAAAAACACATTTCCCTATATAGAAAGACAGTTTTGGCTGGGCACGGAGGCTTGTGCCTGTAATCCCAGTGCTTTGGGAGGCTGAGGTGGGGGGGTCGCTTAAGGCCAGGAGTTTGAGACCAGCCTGGACAACATAGAGTGATGTGGTCTGTACAAAAAAATTAAAAAGTAAACAAGTAAAAATTAGCCAGCCATGGTGGTATATGCTACAGTCCTAGCTGCTTGGGAAGCTGAGATGGGAGGACCGCCTGAGCCCAAGAGTTTGAGATTACAGCGAGCTGTGATCGGGCCACTGCACTCCAGCAGAGCAAGACCCTATCTCTAAAATCGTTTTAAATTGAAAGGCAGTTTTTGCTGGAGCAAGAAAAGCTTTAGGGCAGGTGTCAGGAGATCTGGTCTTGCAGACCTGCTGTCTAGAGGCGAATGCAAGACTCAGCCTTTCTGAACCTCAGATTCATTAGGTATAAATGCAGAATGATAATGTCCTTCTAACCGATTTTGGTGCGGGGATGCATCTTAGAAGATGCTGTACTTGAAAGTTTTTGAAACATGCTGTAAGGTGATAAAACATTAAAACATTCTTTCTAATTATTAAGCTCTTCTTCTCTTGTGTAGTGTTCCATAAATATTAAGAGTAGTTGATCACATCTTAAATATCTGAAGGCTCTTAATCTCATTTTAAGCCTTTCATCCCCTTTCTTTTACATTACTTGCCTGAAGTACCAGGAAAATATCTTTTTAAGAAAGGAATTCAGTGGTATTTCTGGCAGAAACTCTGTATTGGAAATTGTATATGGCAAACTGATCTCAGCATGCTTTGATCAGGGACATCAGAATTCTATCAGAAATCACGAAGACTTTGAAAGAAAACCCAGAATTAAAAGTGAGACAGCTGGTCTTTTCAGACATCGGGTGAAGCTATGCAAAGTCAACGGGTTTTATCGAGAGCGTTAGCATGAGCAGAAGAAAGGTATTTCCAGCCTTATCATTCTATTGCTTACAAGGGGAAGCTAGTCTGAGTGTGGAAAGCTAAGCTATTCTCTGATTCTCTTGCATTTGAGCTATGTTCAGTTTTCAAGATCATAGGGCAAATAATACATGCAATTTTTATTGCCATTTCCTCACTCCCTAAGAGTCAAGTTATACAAATTTCTTTTGATATCCTCACTCATGGTCCCTACATACTCATCAATTGTCAGATGCGTAAAAATCTCAACTCAGCATGAAATATGGATGTTGACACAATATGACAGGTCTCCACATTTAATTAGGCACAAAATCCCATTAACAATCATAGAGAAGCTCACACACTTTAAACAGTTAACACTTCATGTTTAATGCAGTGTGAGGTCTTAAGCTTGCCATGGCTTATTTATATAACGAACACTTCTGAGACCAATTGAAATGAAACATACATGGAGAAATATAATGAAATCCTGTGCATGCATGTATAAATAATCCAAAGCAGAATTCATATTCCTCAATGGATAACATCTGAACTCTTATCTTTACAGACTTTGGTTATCTTAATTCTCCTCATAAAGTTCCATGGAAAATACTCCACACTTCTTATGGAGAATGAGAATCTGATTTAGAATACACAGACCAAGAATAAAAAAGTGAAGGTGAAAAGTAAATCCTAGGTATGTATGAATGAAATCTCTAGTCAAGAGTGAGCAATCAGCTGTGAGTGGTTGAGGGGCTTGTTGGCATTCTGTGACCTCAGCAAAGCCTCTAGCTTCTGGGGTTGCTTGGATCATCAACTCCGGACTTGGATGCTACCTGCATTAGGGTATTGCCTTCCACTCTGCATCATTCTGTTTTCCTCTTTTATTATTTATTTATTAGTAAAGACGAGGTCTCTAGGCCAGTTGTGGTGGCTCACACCTGTAATCCCAGCACTTTGGGAGGCCGAGGCAGGCAGATCACCTGAGCTCAGGAGTTAGAGACCAGCCTGGCCAACATGGTGAAGCCCCATCTCTACTAAAAATACAAAAATTAGCCGGGTGTGGTAGCGGGAGCCGGTAATCCCAGCTACTCGGGAGGCTGAGGCACGAGAATAGCTTGAACCTGGGAGGTAGAGGTTGCAGTGAGCTGAGACCCCGCCACTGCACTCCAGCCTGGGTGACAAGAAAGAAACTCCGTCTCGAAAAAAAAAAAAAAAGATGAGGTCTCACTATGTTGCCCAAATAGTCCTAGAAATAATATGTATATACATATTTTTTGGTGGAGCCTACATTATTTGGTTGTAATAACTGTAGCTTCCAAACCCAGTTGAATTTATCCAAGTAAGCAATGTTTTTTCATAAGTAGGTGTTGACATGAACAAACACATTTTCACAGGCAGAGTACCAGCAATTATTAAATCGTTATTTTAAAATTGTGATTTTTACATTGTCACAAAATAAACAGAACTGAGATTAAATTTCACAATTTGCACAATGGTTTTCATGTATGCTTAACAGTTTTTATCTCATTCCAATAATTACAACATGTTTTCCTTCTTTGGAATTTCAGTTGGCATTTCTTGTGCCTTTTCCTCTACTTCTCCCCATTAGTTATGCTAATGTTAAGATTCTATTGTAATTTAAGAATTGTGGGTGGGTGCGGTGGCTCACGCCTGTAATTCCAGCACTTTGGGAGGTTGAGGCGGGAGGATCACCTGAGCTTAGGAGTTCGAGACCAGCCTGGCCAACATGGTGAAACCCTGTCTCTATTAAAAATACCAAAAATTAGCAGGGCATAGTGGCAGATGCCTGTAATCCCAGCTACTCAGGAGGCTGAGACAAGAGAATCACTTGAACCCGGGAGGCATGGGTTGCAGTGAGCTGAGATCGTACCATTGGACTCCAGCCTGGGCAACAAGAGAGAAACTCCATCTCAAAAAAAAGAAAGAAAGAAAGAAAGAAAGAAAAAAGAATTGTGACCATATTCTGGGAGGCCTTATTTTGTAATATTGAAGAATGAAGGGTTGGGGGCAGTTTAAGTCCTGCTTTTATTACTGACTAATTAAATGACCTTGAGGAAGTTATTCTGCCTCCTTGGCTTTGGTTTTGACATCTGTAATGCTGGATTGCTGTGAGGGTTGAATATAGTTAATATGCATAAAACATTTAGCACAGGGCCTGGCACAAAGCATAAGGCCAAAAAGCATTAGCTACGATTATTGGCAATGTGGAAATGAATGAGTAGATTTGGTTTCTAAAATTGGTGTAAATAATTCAAATATTTGTAAAAAAGTAAAAATGTTTAGGACAAAGTCAGAGCCAAATCAGATACAATGAAAGTATAGCAGTGTTCGGTGTGCCCTCTTGCTGTCTCTGAAGATCAAAATGAAAATTGTGCATTAACTAGTACTGAGTGTTCACACTGGGGAATGCTGGTATCGTGCATATTTTGGATGTAGATGATACAGTTAAGAGAAATTTATCAGAGATCAAGAGATAAGTGAAAAATGTACCTTCAATAATTTGAGAGTTTAAAAAATTTGTACTGGAAAGATATTTAAAGTATGTTATCCATTAGCCACTCACCCCAGCTATCCTTGGAGAATAGCATGATTGCAAACAGATGCAAAAACTGCAGTCAATTCATAATTCCCACAGAGTAGGCAGATTTTAATTGCCAGGATATTTTAGTCACCTTTGATTTAATAGCCTTTGGCTCTTATTTTCCCTTTTGAATTTATTTTTCTAAGGTATGACAAAAATTAGCTTTCCAACACCTCTTTACAGGTTTTAAGAGTTTCTAGTAGAGCATATCCTAATAATGTGTACTCAATAAATACTGAAAATAATGAGAGATTGATGTTAGCCATCATTTATTATCAAACTCCATTTCTCTCTGTTATTAGATTCCAATACCCTCAAGTAGCTTTATAAAGAATATTCACTTACGCCGGGCACAGTGGAACACAGGACACCAGTTAAAAGGGAGGCCATGTGCTAAGGTAATTGAGCAAATGTTCGAAGAGTGAAATCCCCAGACTTCCTCCCCAGCTCAGCCCCCAGAACTCTGCAGCTAGGCAGAGGATGAGCCTTCTTTGGGAAATCTATTAGCACCATCAGGGAATAAAAAGGCCTAATGATACTGGCTTTGGAGCCTTCCAAATAAAGAGCCAAATTAGATCACTCTGCAGTGCATTCCACAATCAGGAAGTCTACTTATTAGTCTTGCCCTTCAAGTAAGTTTTTGAGTGCTCTAATTTTGAATACAACCCACAAACTACCAGGCATCAATCAGCAAAACATCTGAGGAAATCCTCTAAGATTAGAGACAAAGCCCCAAGCAAGCTAACCAAAAGGCAAAACAACTAAAAGAAAAGAGAAATATTGAGGCAGAAAAAAACTTCAAAATCTCATAAGAGATAAGAAAGGCATTATTCCTACGAGAAAAAAGAAGACGATACTAAGAAAGCATTATTCAGAGAATAAGAAACAGCGCTTTGAAATTAAAAAATAAAACAGCAAGGAATAAAAAATGACAGAAATTGGAAGATAAACTTGAAGAAATCTCCACAAACTAAAAACAAAATGACAAAAATGCAAAACAGGAGAAAAATGCTTTTTTTAAAAGTAAGGGACCACTGCGAAAGGTCGAATATCTGATTAAAAGAATCATGGGATGTCTGGGCGTGGTGGCTCAGGCTGTAATCCTAGCACTTTGGGAGGCCAAGGTGGGTGGATTGCCTGAGCTCAGAAGTTCGAGACCAGCCTGGATAACATGGTGAAACCCCGTCTCTACTAAAACACAAAAAATTAGCCGGGTGTGGCGGTGTGCCCCTGTAGTCACAGCTACTCAGGAGGCTGAGGTAGGAGAATTGCTTGACCCCAGGAGGCAGAGGTTGCAGTGAGCCAAGATCACACCACTGCACTCCAGCCTGGGTGACAGTAAGACTCTGTCTCCATAAAAAAAAAACATAAAATAAATATAAAAATTAAGATAAAATAAAATACATAAAAAATAAATAAAACGAATCACGGGAAGAGAGACCTGAGAAACCAGCAGGGAAGAAATCATTAAACAAAATAATTAAGGAAAATGTTTAGGCGCTGAAGAATTCACCAATATCCAGACAGTAAACTGAAATACATTCCCAAAGCACACTAATTTTCAGTAGTGTGGTCAAGGAGAAGAACCCAAAATTCTCCTGAAAAAGAAAACAACCACCAAAATAGTTTTTGTACAAAGAACCAAGAATGAAAACAGCATTGGTCCTCTCAACAGCCATCCTGAAAGCAGAAGACTACAGAGCAAGGACTTTAAATTTCTGAAGTAAAATGATTTTCAAATGGAAATTATCTTCCAAATAATGAATCTATTTTTTTGTTTATTCATTTACAATCTATTAATCCATATATTTTTAGGCATATACATTTTGGGAAGTTTAATCTTCCATGTACCCTTTTTGGGGAAGCTACTAGAGTGTGTCTCATCAAACTAAGGAAAAAAACAAAAAAGAGAAGGACAAGGGGTCAGCAACAGAGGGTGAGTCCTGGTGAAGAGATCCAAGATGGCTACCACCGAGCTGCCTGGAGAGCAACCACCCAGACAGGGTGACTACCTCAGCAAGATGAAAATAAGAGAACAGCTAATGTGATTACAATATCACCAGCAGATTATGCAGGTAAAGAAAAGTTTGAGGCTGAAAAAAAGGTAAGTAGAAAGAAAATGAAAATTACTAATCTAGAGAAAACAAAACAAATGAGAAAGAAAAATTGCTAACTGTGCAACATGGTTTTATTGTGAATCATGCATACATATATAATAATGTATGCAGTTAAATTTTATCTAATTGAAATGTTGGTTTGGGGAGAATGAGGAAATGAGGAGTGTTTGGACAAGGAGAGGGCTGGTTTAGGGACCAGGAAGTGAAAGGAGCTCAATTCTCATCTTCCACGTGGGGAGTGAGTAGATAGCATGCTAACGATTGGAAAATTAAGACTTCATAACATAAGTGTGTTATGGAAAGAGATAGAGGAAGATAACCGAAGAATCAGCTGGAAACTTTGATAGTAATTGCCTTTGGGGGCTGAAAATTTGAGGGTGGTTTGGCAGCTGAGAGAGATCCAATTTCTTTGTCAAGTTCTGTAGAAAATTTGCCTCAAAACTATGCGAAAACAATTTTGATGAATTTTTTTTAAATATTGAAAAGAAAAAAGCCTGCAAAGCATATATGACATTGAAATTAATTAATTAAATTAATGGAAAAATGAAATTAAATAAATAGAATGGAAAGGGAAATACATGACATAAAAATGGCAGACGGAGGAAGCTTAGCAAGTTCTGAGTAATAGCTGCACCCTGATAATTAGTGAGCTTCACTGATTTCTATTAATCAGAGGGTAAAAGGAGCACCTGAAATGTGGGAAAAGCCTTCCCTGGACGCCCTGTGATTGGTTAGACCAGCAGTTCTCAAACTTGTTGGTGTCAGAATCCATTTTGCCCTTAAAAAATTGATAAGAACCTCAGAGAACTTTAGTTTCTGTTGGTTATATCTATCATATTGGGAATGAAAACTGAAAACAATTTTAAATATTTATTTATTTATTTTAAAATAATGATAATAAACTCATTACCTGTTTTATGAAAAGAAACTATATTTCCCAAAACAACAAAAATATAAGTAAGAAGAGTAGTATTTTTTCTTTTACCTTTTGGCAGATCTCTTACATCTGGATTCCCCTCGCTGTCTCTGTATTTAACCTGTTGTGTTGTTATTTTGGTTGAAGTATACAAAGAAAATGTGGCCTCCCACATACAGATTATGATTGTCCCTTTCTACGTAATTATTGTGGGTATTCTTTGTTAGTATACCAAAATTTGACATAAAAAAGTTTTTTAAGGGTTAGTTAAAATGTGACATTTCAAACTATATTAATGAATTTCTCGAACTCTGTTACATTGAAATTCATTGGTCTACAGTGCACTTGGATCTTTTACTTAAGCATGATTTTATAACCTCATACATTGGCTTAATGAATTGTGCAGATGTACAGTATGTTGACACATCTATTGTACAATACATACTTTTTAAAAATCGGTCATTAGTATCACCGCCAATCTCATCAAAAAGTCTTTTTTTTTTTTTTTTTTTTTGAGACAGAGTCTTGCTCTGTCACCCAGTGTGGAGGACAATGGAGAAATCTTGGCTCATTGCAACATTTGCCTCCTGGGTTCAAGAAATTCTCCTGCCTCAGCCTCCCAAGTAGTTGGGATTACAAGCACCCGCCATCAGGTCCGGCTAATTTTTGTATTTTTAGTAGAGATGGGATTTCGCCATGTTGACCAGGCTGGTCTTGAACTCCTGACCTTAGGTGATCCACCCATCTCGGCCTCCCAAAGTCCTGGGATTACAGGCCTAAGCCACTGCGCCTGGCCAAAAAGTCTTTAAGTATTTACAAGCTGACAAATTACTGGTGGCAAATAAATATTTCCAAAATTCTAGTGTTTTCCTAAAAAGTTAAATTTTTTTATTTGCAAATACTGTCAGTTGCGTTTCTCAAAGTGATAGCTTCATTTTGTTAAATTTTGAGAACATTTCTCCCAAATGCTCATATTGGACTAACTGTAGTCTGGCATTTTAATTAAAATGTTCTGTGAAACATGGTGTTCAGTGGTGCCTCGATATGTTCAACTCAAACAATGGCACAGGCGCCTTTATCTTGAAACAGTCACGGTGTTTCCGTGTGCAGCAGAAGTGCTTTATGCAGTGAGTCACAGGAAGTATCAAAAAGACATCTGAGTCCCTGGAGCACGCCTGTGGTCCCAGCTACTTAAGAGGCTGAAGAGGTGGGAGCATCCCTTGAGTCCAAGAGTTCAAGACCAGCCTAGGCAACACAGTGAGACTTCACCTCATTTATTATTATTATTAAAAAGAGACATCTACTCAAAGGTTAAAATTTAATATGGTTAAGAATTTTTACCGCTGTATGGAGAACGTTCTTAAGTGAAATTGGCAATTTTTGTTTCTGCCATTGCCTGACAAAAGAATATGACAACCAGTGCAGTTGGGTGATACTGCCGCCATGGGTGCTCAGGTGCCAGCAGTTGTACCCACCCCTGCTTTTGTGCTATCAGGGTTTATGGCAAAATCATGACCTTGAGGACACCCAGAAAACGTCTCAGGTCTCAGGTCAGAAAATGTCTTCTGGGCTACACTGTAAGCTCCTTGAGAGAGTGGATTGATTCTCACTTTTTGTTTCTTTAGGACTGTGTTTAGCACATCATAGGTGGTCAAAAAGTATATGAACTGAACCAAACTGAATGAAGAGGACAGTTAAGTGAAACAGTTATTTGAGTGGGGAAGACAGTGGGTAAATTAATGGAAAAACAAGGCAAGAGGTGAACCCTCGAGAAACAAATTAAAATTTCTTTATTGAATCTGATCTTATTGGGTTTACTATTTTCTTCTAACCCTCTTGCTTCCAATCCTCTTTCCCCTAACTGACACCATAATGGCTTACAGAATGAAATAGCATAAAGCCCAGCCTTGTATTCAAGCTTTTCTCATCTAGCTAAAGGCAGTGTCTCTAGCCGTACCTTCTCCTCCCTGATCCCAAATTAATCATCTGGCTCCTTATAAATATCTGGTGATCCACTCTGCCCACAAGTCACATACTTTCACTATTTCACAGCCGCTCTTTTTTTCTCCTTGCCTTTAACATCCACCTAAAATGCAAACATTTCCATGATGTAACTCCTGGTGACCCAACCCCTAGTGATATATCCCATTTCTGGCCAACTATTTAAGAAAGTTTAGGTCACACGACTTAAGAAATAGATAAGCATCAATTGCTTGCTAATTGATTAAGGTGAGATAATCTTATTTTTCTGGATTTCAAGTTCCTAGAGTGTGGAAATTTTTTTTCAAGGTGAAACTAAGAGGTAAGGAGACAGGTTCTACTTGTGGTTTGTGAACCACTAAGTACTATATAATCTGTCATCATTTATTTTTCTTGCATACCCCATAGTGTTTAGTATGGCACAGTCTCAGTGGAAGTCTTTAATAAATACTTGTGGATTAATTGAATGCAGAAAGCTAGGGTTATTTGGGAGAAAGATCACCCACAAGGGAGTTAAAAGACGTGAAGGATTTTGTGTGGTAAGTTTGAACAGAGCGAAGCCAAATAAACTTTGCCGAATTCCAATTTGTCCCATTAATTTCCACTACATTTTATTTGCCCAACCTAACAGTCCCAAGCAAAACGTGGAAATCTAATAGGGAATTCAGTTAAAAAGAAGAAGACCTTTTGGTTCCATAAATAAGCTACTTCATATTACAGAGCTCTTTTAAGAATAATAAAATTAAATATTCCCAGAATCAATCATTTTAATGCCTCGATAAGAGGCTTTCATGGAAAGAATTATTTGAGACCTTTGCTGAAAACTTAGGGAATTTTGTCATTAGTCACACAAAATAATCCTGCATACACACACACACACACACACACACACACACACAAACTGCCATAGGAACTGTGAAATGGAAATATCTATTGTCTACTTATTATTTGCCAGATATATGGATAATATTTATTTAATCCTCCCAACAAATCTCCACCAGAGGTATTATTTCTATTTAGAGAAAAAGTAACTGATACTTAGAATAAGAAGCTTTTCCAAAATTACAGAATCTTCAAATTGAGGGTTCAGCGTTGGGAACTACTGTCATCTGAATCTGAAAGCCATACTCTTTCCTTTTCACCTTGTAAACCACTTCTTGTTTCAACAAGATGTCAAATAAGTAGGCTGATGAAGAATTGACTAATTAAATGTATTATAATAATCACAAGCTACTATGTGAATATTAAATAAAATACCATGCTTCTTCTGGCTACTTCAAAGATTCTTTACACAAAGGGGAAAAAAATGAAACATTTTCGGGATGAAGTGTGTGCTTGGGGTGACAGTGGTTATTTGGAGGGCAGATGATGCAATTGCCTGCTTGTTGCTGACTCAGAAATGTAGAGAAATGGTCAATATAAACAGATGGCCCCAGGGCTCCTTTCCTTTTGTGAACTGTATGACCCTGATTCAACAAATCTACAGTCGTGGCACTGGATGCCCTTTTACTAAAGTCCTTTTACCTTGTCAGCCTAGCAAAATGACTGAAATTAAAAACTGACAGGGTCACTTGTGAACTTTACTAGCAGTCCCGCCTCTGAGCCATTTTGTGCTCTCAGCGGTTACGATTCTTACACTAACAGGTGGTGTCAGAAATCAAAACCTAATCCTCCAGGGGCTGCCTTGGTGTTCAGTTTCACCTTTCACCGAAGGTGTAATCCACGCCATTAGTTTAATATTTCTTTGTGGGAAAGACACCAAGAAACACCATCTTGGAGAATGTCCTGGGATTTCCAATATCTCCAGAGGAAATTATATTTGACATAGGCTTTTCTCTTTAGCATTTACTATATAGAAATGTGGGGCACTACAGGATTGCCGTGTGTGTGTGTGTGTGTATGTGTGTATATATGTGTGCACGCATATGTGTGTATGTATATGTGTGTGTATGAGTGTGTATGTGTGTATGTGAGTGTGTATGTGTGTATTGTGTACACGTGAGTGTGTGTATATGAGTGTGTATGTGTGTATGTGTATATGTGAGTGTGTATGTGTGTATGAGTGTGTATGTGTGTATGTATGTCTGTGAGTGTATGTGTATGTGTGTGAGTGTGTGAGTGTGTATGTGTGTGAGTGTGTGTATGTGTGTATATGTAAGTGTGTATGTGTGTATATGTGAGTGTATGTGTGTATGTGTGTATATGAGTGTGTATGTGTGTATGTGTATAGTGAGTGTGTATGTGTGTATATGTGAGTGTGTGTATGCGTGTATGTGTGTATGTGTGTATATGTGAGTGTGTATGTGTATGTGTGTGTGTGAGTGTGTATGTGTGTACGTGTGAGTGTGTGTATGTGTACGTGTGTGAGTGTGTGTAAGTGAGTGTGTGTTTGAGTGTGCGTGAGAGTGTGTGTGTATGCACAGGAACATATTTGTTTTTAATTTAGTGTCTCTTTACAAACGCGCTGCAGTGTTCTAAAAAAAATATGAAGACTTGTGACCAGAGAATGCAATGCTCCTCAGGCTAGGTTCATGGTGGATGGACTTCTCTCTGTTTGTTACTGCGTATGGAAGGGCAAGAAGTAAGTTAGCAAAAATTGCTGTATGAATACATTCTGTAACATAATGGCATAGCAAATTGATTTAGACAAGAACAGAATAGCTGAGGATGGAAAAAATGTTCCGTGCCCAGCTATTAATCCAGGCATGGGATAGGGTTGCTACCTTTTGTCTGAGATTCCCAGGATGTTTAGTCAACGGCACCCATCCATGGGAACCTTAGGCGGTCTCTATAGCAACTGTTTAGGTGGTCAGTGACTGAGTCAGTGGATGGAGCTAAGAGGTCCAGGTAGACCTGGGATCCTGGGCATTTTGTAAATCTCTGTGCTAGCAGGACCACATATCTAGATGACATTTCTAGTCCATCTCCCCATTTTTCACCCACTTGTTTCCTTTAACCTTCCTTTTTATGTTCCTGGTTAAATAAAACCTATAGGTAGACATGTACCCAATGGCCTTTGAACTTTCTCTGTTTAGGGATGTATTAAAGGCAAGATCCCCATGAGTGCCCAATGTTGAGGTTTTTTAAAGTTACTTGTTTAGACCTGGCCTGGTGGCTCACACCTGTGATCTCAACACTTTGGGAGACCAAAGTGGAAGGATCACTTGAGCCCAGGAGTTCAAGGCCAGCCTGGGCAATATAGTGAGACCCTACCTCTACAAAAAATTAAAAATTGGCTGGGTATGGTGGTGCACACCTGTAGTAACAGCTACTCTGGAGGCTGAGGCAGGAGGATCGCTTGACCCAGAACGTGAAGGCTGCAATGAGCTGTAACTGTGCCACTGCACTCCAGCCTGGGGGACATAGTGAAACCCTGTCTCAAAAATAAATAAATAGGGCTGGGTGTGGTGGCTCACGCCTGTAATCCCAGCATTTTGGGACGCTGAGGCAGGTAGATCACTTGAAGTCAGGAGTTTGAGACCAGCCTGGGCAACATGGCTGAAACCCCATCTCTACCAAAAAATACAAAAATTAGCCAGGTGCAGTCACATGCGCCTGTAGTCCCAACTACTTGGGAGGCTGAAGCAGGAGGATCACTTGAGCCTGGGAGATGGAGGTTGCAATGAGCCAAGATTGTGCCACTGTACTCCAGCCTGGGTGACACAGCAAGACCCTGTCTCAAAAAAAAAAAAAATTAAAATAAATAAATAAATAATAAAGTTACTTGTTTGAAGAGAGATGATGATTTTAAGTTGTGTCAGTCTGTACTTCCATGAAGTCTCCTCCCTTCTTTTTCTCATAGGTGGGGTTAGGAGAAAGCTAATGAAGCATTACCTCAGGGACCCCAGGGCCTGACAATATATGCACGAGGTCATATGGTTCTGTAACACCTGCAAAGGCAAGGTATATTAACTGCAATAGATTAATATTGAATGTCTTTCCATTCCCATTTGCCTTCCTGCACAGTTTTCCTTGCATCAGGTGGCACTGGTGTGGCCATAGACATATTTTGTACTTTTCGTCTCAGGGAGACTTGAGTTGGAGCTACGTTTTCTTTGGGTTGAGTATGATGTATTGATGTGGTTTATAGTTGCTTTTGAGGGTAACTCAGCCTTCCAGGACTGGAACCCTTTCAGGAATACTGTGTTGACTTCCTTTTTGTCAGAGTTACATATTTGAAATTTGGTATTGTGTTCCTTAAGGGAAACCTTCAAATTCTATACATTTTAGGTTCCAGCAAACCTGGATCTACTCTTGGATTTGTTTTGTGTCTCTGGTATTTACCTATGTTAATATTTTATTTTACATGGATAGGGGATACCTTATTGTTGAATGTGTGATTGTGGGGTTTGGAGATTAGCTTTATGGCACTTTCTATCATTATTACACCTTTTCTTTTAGGTCAGGACAAAGTTCTATTCAAAAGTTATGCATGGTTGTATACTATAATGTCATATCTTCACTTATGAAATGGTAACATCAAATTAGCAATATGAATCATTAAAATTGAGAGCACTCTCAATTTGCCAAAATTTGACTGTAACATTTTATCAATGTATTTCATAAATTGAAGTGAGGAAGGCTTCAGATAATAATATTTTACAAATGGTTTTGTAGGCTATGTTTTTATCAACTCCAATAAGTATCATCAATTAAAGCAATGTTTTAGGGAATTCATACCTTTACTTTGGTCTGTTGGGTACGATCATTCCAAATAAGTATTTAAGAAGTGATTCCCAACCAGCCCGGTGGCTCATGCCTGTAATACTAGCACTTTAGGAGGCCGAGGTGGGCAGACTGCCTGAGCTCAGGACGAGATCAGCCTGGGTAACATGATGAAACCCCATCTCTACCAAAAAATACAAAAAATTAGCTGAGTGTGGTGGTGAGTGCCTGTAGTCCCAGCTACTCTGGAGGCTAAGGCAGGAGAATTGCTTGAACCTGGGAGGCAGAGGTTGGAGTGAGCCAAGATCGCACCACTGCACTCCAGCCTGGGTGACAGAGTGAGACTCTGTCTCCAAAAAAAAAAAAAAAACAAAACAAAACAGTTATTCAGTTATTCCTATTTATTGTATCTTCCATAAACTCAATTATTTTACAGTTTAGGGTACAGTCATCCTTAACTAAGAAAAGAGACCCCTGCATGGTCATGTAAAATTTTTTTGCAGGGGTTTGCATTACGGTCACAGGCAAACACTAAATCATTTAACCTCTGAGCTTTTGTGTTTTTCTTTGAAACCAGGGGTCTTTATTTCTCCCATGTGATATTTGTACCATTAAGCTTTAAATTACTGTTTAAAATGCTGAGACATATAAATATATAAAGTTTTTCAAAAGAAAATGTAGACTAGTTTTAAAATAGGTTACAAATTAAATTGAGGACTTCTGTTTCTGGCCAAAGTGGAGTAAAGGGACTTAATTTATGCTCTTGCCTGAAACAGTTAAAACCAATGCCAATACCCAGGCTAAACCAGAACAAACCAGACAAAATATTTGAAACCATGGCTTGCAAGACACCAAACACCAAGCAAGAACAATGATCTCTGGAAGATGGAAAATAAAGTGAACCTTATGATCGCCCCCAGCTTACTGCTTTGAGAGAGTTTCTAGGTTGCACTGCAGGGAGGGGAAACTGAGGTGGAGCCTGACAAACCTCTGAGTTGAGGAGATGAAACCGACTCTGGGGAGATCGAGGTAACTGGAGTTCTCAGGACAGAATTTGTGAGATGAGAGAGAGGTGCAGTGATCTTCAGAAAGCCTTCCTCTGGGATTCGGCTGAATCTGATCAAAGAATGTATGTGAGGAAACTATTCAAGGCCAGGAAGAGAATTAATCAAATGGATTAGAGACCTTGAAAGATCAAAATATTTTCAGGTAATGTCACTGCTCCCCAGAACAAAACTCAAGAATATTTACAGGATTACAAAAATATCCAGTACCCAGCAGGGTCAAATTCACAATATCTGGCATTCGATCACAGATTACCAGGCATGCAAAACAAAAACAAACAAATAAAAACAAAACAAAACAAAAACCCAGGAAAGTATGAACCATAGTGAAGAGACAAAGCAATCAACTGAAATGAAATAAGAATGGACACAAATGATAAAATTGGCAGAGCACTACATTGAAAAGTCATTATAATGATATTCCATATATTCAGAAAGTTGAGACATGGAAAATATAAAAAGTCTCAAACTTCTAAAGATGAAAACTACAATAGCTGAGATTAAAAATACGCTGGATAGGATTAATAAAATTATGTATTGCAAATGAAAAGTTTAATAAAGTTGAAGACATAGCAACAGAAGCTATTTAAAAAGAAACACAGAGAAAAATAATTTTAAAAAATACAAAGATCATCAGTGAGATGTGGGATAACTTCACGTGGTCTAATATATGTATAACTGAAATCCCCAAAGGTATAGGAGAAGAAGAATAATTGAAAAAACAATAGCCTACTATTTCCAAATTTGGTAAAAATTATAAACCAACAGATCCAAGAATCCCAATGAACCTCAAACACAAGAAAACTGAAACAAATCACATCAAGGAACACCATAATTGAATTAATCAAAATCAGCAACAAAAAATAAATCATGAAAGTAGCAAGATTAAAAAAACACATTATATACAGAGTAACAAAGAAAAAAGTGCATTACTCTTTGGAAAAAATTACAATGGAATAATGTCTTTAAAGTATTGAAAGCAAAAACCCGATAAACCTAGAATTCAATATTCAACAAAATGATTTTTCTAGAAATATATATTCAGATATACAAAATCTGAAAGAATTCATCAATAGTAGACTCACATAATAAGAAATGTTAAAGGAAATCCTTCAAGTCTAAAGGAAATGATATTAGGTAAAAATGTGCACCTGTACAGAGGGATGTAGAGCAACAGAAATGGTAACAAGTGAGTAAATATAGAAGACTTTTTTCTTATCATTTGAATTGCTTTAAAAGATAACTGACTATTTAAATAAAAATAAAAGCAGGCCAACTGCATTGGCTCAAGCCTGTAATCCCAGCACTTTGGGAGGTTGAGGCAGGCAGATCACTTGAGGCCAGGAGTTTGAGACCAGCCTGGCCAACATGGTAAAACCCTGTCTCTACTAAAAATACAAAAATTAGCCAGATGTGGTGGAGTGTGCCTATAATCCCAGCTACTTGGCAGGCTGAGGCATGAGAACCACTTGAACTTGGGAGGTGGAGGTTGCAGTGAGCTGTGATCACACCACTGCACTCCAGCCTGGGTGACAGAGTGAGACCCTGTCTCAAAAAATAAAAATAAAAATAACGTATTGTAGCATTTATAACATATATATAAATACAATATATGACAATAATCACATAAATGCCAGAAGGGATGAAATGAAAGTATACTTTTTTAGGGCTCTTACGTTATGTATAGAGTTGTATACTATTGCTTGAAGGTAGTCTGTAATAAGTTTAAAATATGCACTATAAATTCTAAAGCAAAGACTAAAACAATAACAAACAGTTATAGCAATATGCCAACAAAGGAGATACATTGGATTCATAAAAAATTTATCAATCCAAAGAAGACAGAAAATGAAGTAAAGTGGAACAAAGAAGCGACTGGAAAAATATGAAGCAAATTGTAGGATAATAGACTTATACCTAACTATATCAATAATCACATTAAATTTAAATGGCCTAAACAGCTCCTTAAAAGAAAGATCTTTCTAGATTGGATTAAAAAAAGTATATGCCATCTATAATAAGTATACTCTGAATATAAAAACTAAAATAGGTTAAAAGTAAACAGATGAAAAACAGTATACCATGCTAACACTAATCAAAGAAAACTAGAGAGGCACCTAGCCTTTCTTTCTTGATTGAAAGAAAGCTAGATGAAGAATTAACACATTGTCTGTATTCTCAAATGAACGACATAATTGTCTATGCAGAAAATCTAATGGAATTTATAAAAAGATACTAGAAGTAACATATAAATTTAGCAAGGTTGCAGGATAAAAGGTCAATATATAAACATAATTGTACTTTCATATACTAGGAACAAACATTTGGAAATAAAAATTTAAAAAGCAGCCAGGCACAGTAGCTCACACCTGTAATCCCAGCTAATTGGGAGGCTGAGGTAGGAGGATTGCTTGAACCCAGAAGTTTGAGGCTGCAGTGAACTAGGATTGTGCCTCTTCTGCACTCCAGCCTGGGTGACGGAGTGAAATCTCTTGAATTAAAAAAACAAAAACAAACAAACAAAAAATTACTTAACAATTACAACAGAAACATGGAACACTTTGGAAGAAAACTAGAAAACTGACAAAAGATGTACAAATGCGTACATTAAAAACTACAGAATATTGCTGAGAGAAATTAAAGAAGACTTAAATCAATGGAGACAGACATATCTTGTTCATGAGCTGAAACACTCAGGATTATTAAGATACCAGTTCTCGCCAGATGGATCTACTGATTTGATTCAATTTCAGTAAAAATTCCAGCAGTTTTTTGGAGATATTTACAAGATGATTCTAAAATTCATATGAAAATAAATGTAGAATAGCCAAAAACTATTTTGAAAAAGAATAACAAAGTTGAAAGACTAACACTGCCTGATTTCAAAACTTCTTATAAGGCTACTATAATCAAGAAAGTGTTTAATTAGTGTCAAGATATATAAATTAATCAAAGAAAAAGAATAGTTTGCCCAGAAGTAGAACTACACATACGTAGACAACTAATTTTTGACAAAGATGTAAAGGCAATTTGTTAGAGAACGGATATATAGCCAACAAATAGTATTGGAACAGCTGGCTATCCATAGATGGGGAAAAAAATATGAACTTTGATCCATACCTTACACCACATACAAAAATTTACTCATGATGGGTAACAGATACAAATGTAAAACTTATAAAACTCACATAAGAAAAAGAAAGGAAAGGTTTGCGACCCTGTGTTAGGAGATTTCTTATATATGACACCCAAAGCACAAACTATGAAAGAAAAAATTGATAAATTAGACTTCATCAAAATTTATAGCAATGTGAAAACAGACTAATACACATAGTTTATTGTATGCCAATTATACTTCACTAAAATTTTTTTAATTGCATTAGAAACTTATGTTGATTCTGTATTGGGCTGTTGTTTGCCTCCTGCTGGATTTTTGGCAGTTACATTGATGTCCAATCTGCTATGTTTTTACAGTTCAGTTGAAAATATCTTCTATTCTGTGGATGCTTTAAGTGGTTGATATATAAACAGAGACACTTATTCGATTTTCATAGACATTGAAATGTTTTTACTGGAAAGCTAGGTTGTTGGGTCCATGCTATTGTCTTTTTAAAACTAAATTAACAGATGGGTGCAGTGGCTCATGCCTGTAATCCCAGCACTTTGGGAGGCTGAGGCGGGCAGATCACGAGATCAAGAGACCAAGACCATCCTGGCCAACATGGTGAAACCCTGTCTCCACTAAAAATTCAAAAATTAGCCAGGCATGGTGGCGCGTGCCTGTAGTCCCAGCTACTCGGGGGGCTGAGGCAAGATAATTGCTTGAACCCAGGAGGTGGAGGTTGCAGTGAGCCAAGATCGCACCACTGCACTCCTGCCTGGTGACAAAGCAAGACTCTCTCAAAAACAAAAAACAAAAAAACCCACCAAATTAAGCAGAATATGGAAGGTTTGTGAACAAGTTTCAGAAAGTTGAGGAAACTAGCAAAAAACCAGTA
The DNA here is from genome assembly GCF_000001405.40 of Homo sapiens. Classification (NCBI taxonomy): domain Eukaryota; kingdom Metazoa; phylum Chordata; class Mammalia; order Primates; family Hominidae; genus Homo; species Homo sapiens. The sequence goes on from NC_000001.11 coordinate 240,570,555, forward strand.
TGCCCCCTTTTAATAAAAAGACTGAAACACTTACTGTCCACATATGACAATGTTCCTATGTAGACAATAAGAGAACCAATCAAATTGTGTTTTACACAGGCGGTCTTTAAAGTGAGAAGGGAACTCATTTGGTACAGACAATCCTGTTTTACAATTTCACTACTTTGTTCATTACCCCCAATAAAGTCATTCCAAAAATGATGGTATCATGCAAATAAGATCCAAGTATCAGGTATTTATAGGCCATGTCATGAATACTTTTACCATCACATACAATATTTGATTCCTTTCTCTCTTTTTACATTAATGATCACTGTACTGAGCTTAGTGCTGCTTACCTTGTGGGCTGGAATGGACAGAGACTGACTCTGTGACTTAGGCAGGAACAGTGCATACAGGAGAAAACTGGCATATCCAGGTTAAATACCTACATATTGAAATCACATAATATTTCAACATTTGGAACACTTTAAAATGATCTTTGATAGGAATGATTTTGAAATTGAACTAGTATGTCTATAACATAAACAACCAGACACATTTTTCATCTCAAATTCATGCGAATAGTTTTTCTACTTCATGTAAAAAAACTTCCAATTTTATTCCGTAATATTCTAACTATATTCAACTTAAAAAAGAACATTCCCTACCACAGGCAGAATCAACTGGTAGAAATAACACCAGTCACTAATAGGAAGTCTATACATCTAGGTTTATTCTAAAAGACTGAATGACCTTGAACAGGTTTCATTATCTGTAAAACAAGAAAGGTTTGAATTGGCCAATTTCTAAGATTCCTCTAAAATAATTCTTTTTCTGTAGAGTAGTTCTGATTGGGACTACTCTATAGAAAAAGAAGCTGGGCACGGTGGCTCACGCCTGTAATCCCAGCACTTTGGGAGGCCGAGGTGGGTGGATCACCTGAGGTCAGGAGTTCGAGACCAGCCTGGCCAACATGGTGAAACCCCATCTCTATTAAAAATACAGAAAAATTAGCCGGGCATGGTGGCAGGTGCCTGTAATCCCAGCTACTCAGGAGGCTGAGGCAGGAGAATCTCTTTTGTACCCGGGAGGCAGAGGTTGCAGTGAGCCAAGATGGCACCATTGCACTCCAGCCTGGGCAAGAAGAGTGAAACTCCATCGCAAAAAAAGAAAAAGAAAAAGAAAAGAAAAAGATTTGGGTCAATTTCTTATCTGGCATGTATGGTAATTCTTGCCTTATGATAAACTTTTCAGGGGTGCTTAGTGGACCTTCAAATGCCATTACCAGTCACTTCCCAGCATTCAAATTGAGGAATTTGAAACTGCTGATTTTGTTTGAGCACCAAGGAAATAAAGAAGCCAAACGCCAGAGCTGGGCTGTCCATCAATTCTCCCATTTCGGAGACATTCTGACTGCCAGGACCAGCCACCTACGTCAGCATGACCACTTGGAATTGGCCAATTCCAGCAGGGAGTTTGATTACACCCACAGGGCCTCATGAGGATTTTGGCACCTTTTGATCCAAGACGTAATTGACACTGAACGAATGATAAATAAGCATCTTCTTCCCTTTCTCTTGTTGTCTTCTCCAGCTTCAATTACAACTAGAATATTTCTACAGATTTATTAGGTCAAAGGAAGCCCAGCATTTTTTTTATATTAAAAAGATGTGTTCGTGTCTGAATATTCGGACAAATCCTTTACATTGCCCATGGGTTGCAGAAGGATTTTAGTGATAGCTAATCATGGAATCAAATTTAATCCACTGGTGTGTTCCCTTCATTTTAATCACCTCTAAAGTGATATTGTAAGCCTGTATTCCTGGAACAAAAATGAAAGTAGTTGTCATTACTTGACAGATAAAACATAGAATGACTTTTCTAAGCCTTACTTGTTTGCATTCTATGAAATTAGACAAACCACTGGTAACTCAAATTACTTTAGAGAGTACGAAGTCTTCCCCATCTGCTGACAAATTATGTCCCTATGTCAACAGAGGGAAAACACTCCCTGTAACTAGTCCATTTTGTCCCCTGCTGGACTTGAAGCTAATGATTATAGGGAGTTAAAACCAAACTATTTTCTTCCAGTTGTGAGATACACATCTCCCACAATTCTTGTTCCTTATAGATAATGCTCTAGCTTTCTTAGTGGATTGGTTGTTTGGGAAACCACCAGTTCAAAAATTGTGATGGAACTGACTAAATATTTCAGTCAAGCAGTTGACTGAAGTAGCTAGTGGTTGAATTTCCATTGGATTAAGCACTTGTTTTAACTACTTGTCAGTAAGGAATATGCAGAGAGAGGGATGCTGAAAAGGGATGATCACTGTGATAATGCAGCCAAAACTAACTCTCAACTGGCTTTATAGGTAAAATAAAATGTTTTCCTTACCTGAATAATAAACTCTTTAATTTTAAAGTAGAATTATTCATTGGCCTGTGGAATTAAAACTATCAAAATAATGCTAAATAGAGCTGAGACTGGAATGATGCAAAGTGAGGCAGTTGGCTTCCACTCAAATTTTAAGTGAGAGCAAAAAGTACTCAGTAATTAAGATAAATAATACTAATAAAATATTTTTAAAAGAAACAGCAAATCAATTTGAAAAAAAAAATCACGATGAATAAAACATCAAAACTGGGCCAGGTGCAGTAGCTCATGCCTGTAATCCCAGCACTCTGGGAGGCCAAAGAGGGAGGATCACTCGAGCTCAGGACTTAAGACCAGTCTGGGCAACAAATGAGACCTCGTCTCTATTTTTTTTTCAACTATTAAAAACATAAAATAAAAAACATCACAATCGTAAATAAGGACAGAATCAGTATTACTGATTTTTTTTCTTTGGCTCAGGCTTCGTATATAGAACTCTACACAGCATTATTGCTGCCACTGTCTTTCTTTAAAATTTTGATATTTTGTTCACCATGGATTTTTTTGGCATTAATTTTGATGTTTTAAACCATTGCATTTAGATTTTATTTATCTTTACAACTTAGGTTCTGACACCCTCTTAAGTCCTACGCCAGAGGCGCTCTGGTCTTGCCCTGGCGTCCTGCGATCTTGATGCCTAATTTGAGGTATGAAATTCCAGCCTAATTTGAAGTATAAAATTCCATAGTCACACAACCAATAAGTGGTGAAGTCTGGATTCAACACCCAGTCCTCAGGAGGCCTTCCTTTGAGGACTGTGCTATTAATGCTTTCCAAGTGACTGTGGAATCTAACAGCTCTGAAAGAAGTTGCTTTGTTCCTTTCCAGCCTGGGACCTTCCATAGCCTGAGTTGCGGGTAGAGGATGGTAAACCCTGAGCTAGGGGTCTCAGAGCTGGGACTGGAATCCAGGAATGAGTTAAGGGTTTCAAATAAGATAATAAGAGATAGGTTTGTTTTGTTTTGTTTTGACGAACTCTCACACTCTCGCCCTGGCTGGAGTGCAGTGGCTTGATCTTGGCTCACAGCAACCTCTGCCTCCCAGGTTCAGGTGATTCTCCTTGCCTCAGCCTCCCAAGTAGCTGGGATTACAGGCACCCACCACCATACCTGGCTAATTTTTTTGAATTTTAGTAGAGACAGGGTTTCACCATGTTGGCCAGGCTGGTCTCGAATTCCTGACCTTGTGATCTGCCCGCCTCGGCCTCCCAAAGTGATGGGATTACAGGAGTGAGCCACTGCACCCAGCCTGAGATAGGTTTAAAATTTCTTTTCTGTTGTATAGAATTCAATTTTAAAACGATCTCCCCACTCCTCAGAAAAGAAAGAAAAACATCAATAATGCAAAAAGGTATCATCTAAGAACTAAGTTCTTAGAAAAGAACCTACTAGTAATATAAAAATAACTTCTCTCACGTGGCACATGTGCTTTTACATGACCTCACCTATTTATTTATGTGATGCAATGAAGTTCTGAGACATGGGTGTAGGTCGTAGAAGAGGAAGGTGCTTTTACTCTAAGAAGGGACAGAAGGAGGAGGCCATTAATAAAAGTAAGGAGAAATGTTTGCAGAAAAGAAGAGGAATATCAGGCATTTGCAGATGGGTTAAGTAAACTTAAAGGAGCTCTTGGTAATTAGCCTAGAACTCAGCAAAGTAGGACCTGGAATTACTGGTGGGGAGGTGGGGGTGTCGAGGGTGTGGAAGAAGAGGGCAAAAATGAGTGGATGATTTTGGAACAGTCTTGGTGATCAGTATGGCCTGTAGTCAACAAGATATGGACACACACAGGAGTTCTCTAAAATGCAACAAGATATATTGACAGACAAGTCCAAAATTAAAATAATATTCTGATCTTGGGCCGGGAGTGGTGCCTCACCTGTAATCCCAGCACTTTGGGAGGCCGAGGCAGGCGGATCACGAGGTCAAGAGATCTAGACCATCCTACCCAACATGATGAAACCCCATCTCTACTAAAAATATAAAAATTAGCTGGGCGTGTTGGCGTGCGCCTGTACTCCCAGGTACTCGGGAGGCTGAGGCAGGAGAATTGGTTGAACGTGGGAGGCGGAGGCTGCAGTGAGCCAAGATCGCACCACTGCATTCCAGCTTGGTGACAAGAGTGAGACTCTGTCTCCAAAAAAAAAATAATAATAAAATAAAATAAAAATAAAAAAATTGATCCTTAGCGCTGCTACCCAGCTCCACAATCTGTTCCTTGATGTGCCTCCTTTTTTGTTTTATTTAACTGTGATAGTATTCACCCCTCGGCCTTAGCTAGTAGTATAGTCTCAGGGTAAATGTTGGTTCTACCTCCTCTTTTATCTTTCACAGCTGAAAGCACCAAGTCTTGTCCCTTTTATTTCTAGAATGAGAGTTGCAAAGCCAAATAGTTCTCAAGAATCAGGCAAGTAAAGCAGACTGGGTTGGGGGGTGGGGGTGTCACTATGTAAGGGTAACTCTTACATTTAATGTGTTGCTGCATTTATATGACCAATATGTTGTTCATTCCAAATACCACTGTAGCAAGATTCACTTTTTAATTTTAATTTTAATTTTATTTTTTTTTCAGACTGAGTCTCACTCTGTCGCTCAGGCTGGAGTGTGGTGGCACGATCTTGGCTCACTGCAATCTCCGCCTCCCGGGTTCAAGCGATTCTCCTGACTCAGTCTCCTGAATAGCCGGGATTACAGGCGCGCACCACCACGCCCAGCTAATTTCTGTATTTATAGTAGAGACGGGGTTTCACCATGTTGGCCAGGCTGGTCTCAAACTCCTGACCTCAGGTGATCTGTCCACCTCAGCCTCCCAAAGTGCTGGGATTACAGGCGTGAGCCACCGTGCCCAGCACAAGATTCAGTTTTTAACAAAGCTTACATAGAAGGAGAATCAAGAACAACATCAGAGCTTTGGTGTTGTGTGCTCTGCTGGAAAAAAAAAAAAAAAAGATGGAGGGGGAGGGAAGAACAAAATCTTACTTGTTAAATTACAGAATGTTATCAATGGTAAAACCCGAGAAAGAAAAGAAATGTGCCCAAAATAAGAAGAAAGATGAATTAAATTGCTATGCGTCCTGTGAAAGTAACTTTAAAAATATTTTTTCCAACTTTCTTCTATGGCAAACAACCACATACCTTGTAGAAAATGAATTCTCTGGAGGATACAGGCAATAAAGAAAACCTGTGAGCTCCGTGATGTACACCAGCTGATTCGTGGAGACAGCATACAAGCTTAACTAGGAATTTAAATTCATAGATAATTCAGTTTCATGAACTAGGGCCAGCAATAGAATTGTCTATGTTTTCTTTGCACCTTGGTTTGCTGCTCCACCTCCTTCCTCTCAAATGTAGTCTCTTACTAATCTTGTAAGGGGATCTTCCTTCCCTCTCTTGACGAAGCTTCCTGGTTTCGCTTAGAGTGTGAGGAAGTTTTTGTGACAGCTGGTCACGTTACTAGCATCACCAGTCCATATTTCCTGTTCAGATTTCAATCAAGCCACAAACCCTTGAGAATCATAGCTTTGGTTTGGTTTCGTTTCGTTACAAAACTTTTTTTTTAAGAAACCATGAAACCACACAAGGAGTCCATAATCCCAAAGGCTGCCAAACAACCCTGGTTGACCTAGTTAGCACTGTAGTGGGAAGTGGGGGAGGGGGCAGTCAGATAACATAATTCTAATTAAAATATTCAGAAAACTAAAACCTTTTAAACTTAACTCTTTGTTTGGAATAAAAACAACCAAATATTGGGGCCTGACAGACACTATATCAGAAATTAAAACAATTTATTCTTTAAATTTCAGATACTCCAATTAGAATGAAATTAAACTCAATGAGTTTAAACTGAGTCGAGGTTTATTAAGCTCTGCCAGTTCCTTTTGCATTCGTTTACTGTATTTTATTTTTAAAACAACCACATAATTAATACTGCAGAAAGCAGTATATGATAAGAACTTACTTGGGAAGATTTTTTATTTTGTTTCCGATGTGTATTTCTTAGTCAAGTGCTACATGGTGTTTCTTACCATTACTTATTTAAAAAGCAGATCAATGAGATTCATACTGGTAACATTTACACAAATTTTCCAAATTATTGTTTGTCTCTACTTACAGTGGGTGCCAAAATAAATCTTGGATCTTTATATTTTCCTTTACCAAGTCATGCAAAGCAAGGATCTTTTCTTTAACTGAGCTTTAAAACCATTGCTGGCAGCGTCGAGATCAAAATAAATAGAAGTTCCATTCCTGAAAACTGACATGGAATTGAGTCGGCCATAAAAGTGATGTTGTCGCAACTTATTTCAACAAAGAAAAAGTCCTAAAATTAAAAACATGTTTCTTCTGTCATGTGTCATACAAGGAAAAAAAAAATGGAAAAAAAGGAAATCTTAGTGTGTTCCTAATTTAGATTCTTCTTTACTATAAACATAACTTTCTCCAACAACGACACACACAAATATGTTGTGCCACTCTTGAGAATTAAGGGCTTTTCTTTGTTCAGTTTGGGTTCTCACCATTTGGACATTAAAAGAATGAAAGTTACATATGCATGTAAGAGTGATTGATGACGGGAGGTGGGCCTACAATTTACATGCATGTTTTCTGAACACAGTTCGGGTCTTAACTTGAAAACCTCAACTTGAAAAATATCATGAAACGTATTTCTTTGGGAAATTATTACAGTTTGGGATGTTAGTCTTAGTGTCAAGTTGAAGATGTTTTGGTTAATTCACAAATGAGTAAATTGCCTAGTTTACAGTATTAGCGATTTTTAAATCATAACTTATGGTTACTTGTATGTCTCTTCTGAATAAAATATTTTACAATTTTAGCCTGTAGGTTTATGGAAATTCACAATGAAAATAAATCAGGCTCAGACACATCTATGTGAGCAAATCTATATTTCTGGATAATTGAACTACATAAATCACTCATTAAAGACAAAATATCCAAGAGTTCAAAGTTATCCTTTCTTGAGAGCAGTTCATTAATCCTTGTAGATATGTAGCAATAAACCCAAAGGTCAAGAAGCTGAAGGTGGGTCGCTGGGCTGTTAGATGTGGAGGCAATAGGATTACTGTTTTTTGTTGT